>NT_167244.2:4020686-4270551 GCF_000001405.40 Homo sapiens | reverse complement strand
GGCCAATATTAGGTTCTCACAAATTGAGCAAATATGGAGGTGAATTGATGTGTAAGTAAGTATGTGACTTAGGTAAGATTGAAATGTGTATGTTTTATGGGGTGCCATGTATAGGGGAATAATCATAGACAAAATTATTGCCTTCAAACCTGAGACATTAGAATTATGTGAGGAAAGACAGACATAGAACAGCACAGGTTATTGTCACAGAGAGTAGTCTAGTCCAGTCTGGCCAGAACATAAGCTACAAGAAGTAGAGCAGGAGAAGAGAAAATGGGAGGTAAATTTATATTAGAGAACACATTATAGAAGGTTTCCAGTGCTGTTAAGTTTGGAATCAGTGGGGAACCACTGAAATTTTTTGACTAATGACTTGATCAGAATTATGTTGTTAGATAGAAACTCTGTCTTCCAGTGGCTGGCACCGTCCATGTTAATAAACATCAAATTAAAATGTCGGGGTTGGAAGGAGATGTGATTGGTGATACAAAACATTTATTGAGTAGTTAAAATGTGTCAGGTACTGCAATGAGTACATGTAGTAACTCTTTTAATCCTTATAACCCTATAAAGTCAATACTAATATTATCACCCTCAGTTTTCAAATGAAACAACAGAAGCAAAGGACGTCTTAGTCTGTTTTCTGATGCTATCACAGAATACCACAGACTGGGTAATTTATAAACAGTAGTTTATTTGGCTCAGTTCCAGTTGCTTGGAAGTCCAAGAGCATGGCATTGGCATCTGGTGAGAGCCTTGTGCTGCATCATCCCACGGCAGAAAGGCAAACAAGCACATGAGATGGAGAGAGAATAGAGGCCAGAATGTACCCTTTGTTTGTTTGTTTGTTTTGAGGCGGAGTCTCGCTCTGTCGCCCAGACTGGAGTGCAGTAGTGCAATCTTGGCTCACTGCAAGCTCCTCCTCCCGGGTTCACACCATTCTCCTGCCTCAGCCTCCCAAGTAGCTAGGACTACAGGTGCCCGCCACCAAGCCTGGCTAATTTTTTGTATTTTTAGTAGGGACGGGGTTTCACCGTGTTAGCCAGGATGGTCTCCATCTCCTGACCTCATGATCCACCTGCCTCGGCCTCCCAAAGTGCTGGGATTACAGGTGTGAGCCACTGTGCCCGGCCTCAGAATGTCCCCTTTTAAATGGGAACCCATACCTACATTAGTAGCATTAATCCATTCATGAGAGCAGAGCCCTCATGACCTAATTAACTCTTAAAGGTCCCACTTCTTAAAACTGTCAAAATGGCAATTATTTTCAACAAGAGTTTTGGAGGAGAGATTCAAACCATAGCAGGTAATATTTACCTAAGGTCACACCTTTAGTAAGTAGCAGAACTGGGATTTGAACCCAGCTGACTCTGGGTGGCATATTATTCTGTTTACTAGGCACAGCAGGGAGTTTAAGATCCAAGATTGAAGTTAGAGAAAAAAGATTAGGAAAAGCAGATTTGAGAGTCACCTTTGAGGTGATGTTTGAATCAGCCACGAAGGTAGCTGAGGTTTGTAAAAGAGGGGGTATAAAAACAATTTAGGGTGAAGGATTGAGCTTTGGGTTACATCTTCATACAGGAAGCAAGAATAGGAAGTGGAACCAATGGAAGATCTCAAGGAGAAGCAGAGCAACATAATGTGAGGAAGCTAGAACAGGAGATGGTTCCAGGAAGGATGTCATGTTCATTGAATGACTGATTAAATCAGGACTCCTTAAGCTTTTTATGTGCCATTAGCTTTTTTGGCAGTTTGGTGAAGCCTTTGGATCTTGTCTGATAATATTTGTAAATGCATAAAATAAAATATAAACTATAGTTATCAAAATACAGTGGTCCCCCCTTAACTGCAGTTTCAATTTCTGTGATTTCAGTTACCCAAGGTCAACCTGGTCTGAAAATAAGTACAATAAGATACTTTGTGTATGAGACAGAAAGACCATATTCACATAACTTTTATTACAATATAATTGTCCTATTTTGTTGTTAATCTCTTCCTGTGCAAATTTATAAATTAAACTTTATCATAGGTATATCTATGGATAGGAATAAACTGTATAATCACATTTGGTGCTGTGTGGGGGACACTACTATATTCAAAGAAACGTGTGATGATCTAGTAGTATGTGTTTCTGTATTAATACAATACAGTGTTTCTTTACTAATACATTAAAAAGCATGATTTTTTGGCAAGTTTAACAGCTCCCATAATTGTAAGTGATATTTTAAGATGTCTGTAACAACTATAATGTGATATGAAAATATTAATTGATGGTGTTTTCTATTGATGACAGTGTTACAGCTGCTGGCTGGTACTACAAAGATTTATTTTCTACATTCATAAAATTAGATTTCAGTGAGAGTTTTTTGAAAATAAAGTTGACTTTTTTTTATTCCATCCAAGTTTATGGACTTCTGAATTGTTTTTTTTTATTTTTTATTGATACATAATAATTGTACATATTTATGGGGTACATATGATATTTTGATACATGCATACGATGTGTAATGATCAAATCAGGATAATTAGGATATCCATCACCTCAAACATTTATTATTTCCTTCTGTTGGGAGCACTTCAAATCTACTAGCTATTTTGGAATATACAGTAAATTAATGTTAACTGTAGTCACCCAGCTGTGCTATCAAACACTATAGAATTTATTCCTTCAATTTAACTATATTTTTGTAACCATTAATGAATCTCTCTTCATCCCCCCTCCACCCCCTCCCTTTCCCAGTCTCTGGTAACCATCATTCTACCCTCTACCTCCATAAGATCAACTTTTTTAGCTCCCACTTATGAGAACGTGATATTTTTTTTTCTGTGTCTGACTTATTTCATTAACATAATGACTTCCAGTTCCATCCATGTTGCTGGAAATGACAGGATTTCATTCTTTTTTATGGCTGACTAGTATCCATTGTATATATATACACCACATTTTCTTTATCCAGTCACTTGATAGACACTTAGATTGATTCCATGTCTTGGCTACTGTGGGTAGTGCTGAAATAAACATGGGCATGTACACATCTCTTTGATACACTGATTTCCTTTCTTTTGGATATATACCCAGCAGTGGGATTGCTGAATCATCTAGTAGATCTATTTTTAGTTGTTTGAGGAACCTTTATGCTGTTTTCCATAGTGGCTATGTTAATTTACATTTCTACCATCAGTATATGAGCATTCCCCTTTCTTTGCATCCTCACCAGTATCTCTTATCTGTGTCTTTTTGATAATAGCCATTTTAATTAGATTCAGATGATATCTCATTGTGGTTTTGATTTGCATATCCCTGATGGTTAGTAACGTTGAGAATTTTTTCATATGCCTGTTGGCCATTTGTATGTCTTTTGAGAAATGTCTATTCAGATCATTTGCCCATTTTCAAATGGGATTATTTGGAGGATTTTTGCTGTTGAGTTTGAGTTCCTTATATATTCTGGTTATTAATCCCTTATCAGATGGATAGTTTGCACATATTTTTTCCCATTCTGAAGGTTGTCTCTTCACTCTGTTGATTGTTTCCTTTGCTGTGGCAGAAGCCTTTTAGCTTGATGTAATCCCATTTGTGTATTTTTGCTTTCATTGCCTCTCCTTTTGAAGTCTTAAACCAAAAAATGTTTGCTCAAAGTCTTGAGCATTTCCCCAGTATTTTCTTACAGTAACTTTTATAGTTTCAGGTCTTACATTTAAGTTTTTAATCCATTTTGATTTAATTTTTGTATTTGATGAGAGATGGGGGTGTAGTTGTATTTTTCTGCATATTGTTATTCAGTGTTCCCAGCACCATTTAATGAAGAGTGTGTCCTTTTCCCATTGAATATCTTGGTACCTTTGTTGAAAATCAGTTGGCTGTTAAGATGTGGATCTATTATTTCTGGGTCCTTTATTCGGTTCTATTGGTCTGTGTATCTGTTTTTATGCCAGTACCGTGCTCTTTTAGTTACTGTAGCTTTGTAGTATATTTTGAAGTTGGGTGGTATGATGTCTACAGCTTTGTTCTTTTTGTTCAGAATTACCTTGACTATTTGTGTTTTCTGTGGTTCCATATTAATTTTAGGTTTGTTTTTTCTGTTTCTGCAAGGAATATCTTTGTATTTTGATAGGAATTGCAACAAATCTGTAGATTGCTTTTGGTAGTACAGTCATTTTCACGATACGAATTCTTCCGAAGACATAGGATGTCTTTCTATTTTTTTGTGACCTCTTCAGTTTTTTTCCTCAGTGTCTCATAGTTTTCCTTGTAGAGATCTTTCACCTCCTTGGTTTATTCTAGGTATTCTATTTTGTTTTTTTGGTGGGGGGAGGGGTTGTAGCTATTGTAAATGGGATTACTTTCTTTGATTTCTTTTCCCACTAGTTTACTGTTTGTATCCAGAAGCACCATTAATTTTTATATGATAATTTTGTATCCTGCAACTGTACTGAATTTATCAATTCTAAGAGATTTTGTGTGTGTGTGTGTGTGGACCTTTTAGTTTATAAATTTGTATGTTTTCTTGTTTAATGTCTCTTTATTTTCATTAGACTTTAAGTGTGATGATGGCAGGTATCTGATACAGAGCATACTGCTAGACACAGAAGGTGGCCAATAAATATTTGCTAAATAAATGAACCTTTCTGAGTCCCAGTTTTCTTGTTTATATAATGGGGATAATAAATTATAACCTTGTAGAGTAGTTGTAAGGATTGCTGCATCATAGTAATGTCACTAAAAGGGAGGATGAATATGGGTATGGAGAAATGTACTGAGGTAGAAATAAGAGTAAATGTGGGAGCTGGATGGCTAGGTTTGCTCTCTGAAACAGGAGGTGGCAGGGAGTAGGAAGAAAATGGTAGTTGGCAAGGAGCTTGGGAAGGGCCTAGAATGGAATTGGAAGGGTAGTAGAGTATATAGGGAAGGCTGTGGAGGTGTAAAATGGCTCATAGAGACTGGGTGTGGTTGCTCATGCCTGTAATCAAAGCACTTAGGGAGGCCGAGCCAGGTGGATCACGAGGTCAGGAGATCAAGATTATCCTGGCTAACACAGTGAAACCCCATCTCTACTAAAAATACAAAAAAAAAAAAAAAATTAGCCGGGTATGGTGGCACGTGCCCGTAGTCCCAGATACTCCAGAGGCTGAGGCAGGAGAATCACTTGAACCTGGGAGGCGGAGGTTGCAGTGAGCGGACACCGTACCACTGCACTCCAGCCTTGGCAACAGAGTGAAACTCCATCTCAAAAAAAAAAAAAAAAGAATGGCTTATAGATAAACCTGATAAGATTTACCTTTGAAACATCTGTTAGAAGGGACAATCCATCATCATCTAATACCTGAAGGCTCTTCCATTCTCAGTTCAGCACCTTCAGAGACTGGTAGCCCATTTGTTCATCGAGTGAAAGGTCACTTAGTGGGCCTCTTGGTGGAGATATATATATATATAGTACACCCTCCCCTAAGGACCTTGCAGTAGAGATGAGGTGACTATGAAACAGACATATAAATGGAAGAGAATAATACAATTAAAACAGTGATAATGGCCAACACAGGGTGCTTTGGAAACGTACTGAAGAGGCTATTAATCTCAACTCTGGGTTCAAGGAAGGCTTCCTGAGAGGAGTGAGATTTCACCTGAAAAGACATATAGAAGTAGGTAAGTAGACTTCAGGTCATTATGGGTCATGACAAGGAAAGTAGATCATTAACAATCATGGAAGGTTTTCATGCAGAAGTATAATATGATCAACTAAGCATAATAAAAATATCCTTCTGGCAGCACTGTGGAAAATAATAAGATTGGAGAGAGAGAGACCAATTATAAAGAAAGTTGCAATAATCAGTGAAAACCAACCATTGAAGGCCTGGACCAGTAGGAATGGAAGGAAAAGAAAGGAAGATTCAAGAGCTATTAGAAAGGTAGAATTGTTAGGACAATTGAATGGGAAGGTTTGAGGAAGATGGGGTCATCAACGATGACCCACATTTGTAGCTCGGGTGGACATCTTGTTATTCACTGAAGTCTTAAATATAAGAGAGGAGTTGGAATATATTGGGAAGGGAAAGTGATGAGTGTACTCTTGTAATCTTGAGATGGAGATACATTCAGAGTAACAATTGCTAACTTTATTTGCCTATGGAATACCTAATTAGAATTCATTATTGAACCATCAATAGCTTATGAAACATAAAATAGAAAACTCACCAATTTTTTTAAACTAATGGCACGGTTTGAAAATTATAAGACACTGCTTTTCATTTAAAACTTCATTCTCTTACACATTTTTGAGATAACTAGGAGAAATGAACAGATTGGGTCAAATGAAGTTAAGTAATTTTTAATTTTGTTGGTTGTGGTGATGGCATTATAGTTATGTTAAGGGAAAGGTTATTATCTATTATAGATATGCCTAAAAGTATTTACTGGTGAAATGTAATGACAGAATTTGTTTAAAATACTCCAAAAAATGCAGAACAATAGATGAAACAAGAATGGAAGAATGTTAAATGTTGAAAATTGTTGACATTCATGAGAGTACATTGGAGTTTATTAGATTCTTCTCTTCTGTGTGTGCTTGGAGCTTTTCAAAGTAAAATTAAAAAAACCTTTTTAGTCAGAGATTCAAAGGAAATTCGTGGAATATATAATTTTAAATTAATAAATCAATATTGAATCACATGATAAATGTAATTTGAATATGTGATAAGACAAGTGACCGACCAGAGATCATCAAGCAGATGACATATGTCACCTGAGTAGTTAGGAAATGCTGTTTGAGCATTAATACACAGATTTAACCTTATGTTTATGCCTCAGATGATCTCATACAATTGTCTGAGATGCCATATGTTGAAAATAGCTGTATTGAGGTGGTTACTTTTCATATGATTCTCCCTTCTCTAGGAATAGCTCTAATCCATAGAGGTAATACTGTACCTGGCCACAACCAATGAATCCAGTGGTACACACCTAATACAAGCTGAGCCAGTGAGAGAGGCTCTCCCAGCAAAGCAAAACTTGAAAGATAAAGAGGCAGGAGGCCTTTGCAGGTGAGCATATTAATGGCAACTCAACCCCTGCTTCTAAGGTCCCTGTGGCTATTCTACCTGAGGCTAGCTTATTCAACTATTACTTTCATTTCATGAGTTAGATCAGTATCTTTCCAATAAATCCTCATTTTTAAAATGTAAGTTAGCCAGAATTGGTTTCTATTGCTTGCAATAAATAGACTTATTAAATATAATAAATTGTTACATAATAAAAAATATTATATAAATGTGTTTGATGTTGCATTATGTCTATGTGGAAATAAATTCAAAAATAAATGATTGCTATCATCAAACTTACTTTTTTTATTTCTTGAGGAACGCTATTGTGAAGAATACAGTTTAAGAACATGCAAATTCATGAAGCGTTCCATATTTAAAAAAAAAACAAAAACAAAAAACTGCTATTGCATAGCATCCAAGTGGATTTGACCAGAAGTGGTTCAGATATGGGTAGTGTGGAACTCAGAGCAAGATCTGAGCTGAAGAGGTAAGCTTGGAAGACATTAGCAAATGGGTGGTAACAGAAGGCATGTGGGAGTAAATGAGAGGACCATCCAGGGCAAGTGTATAGTCTAAGAAGAGTAAAGGTTGAGGACAAAACTCCAGGGAACACCAATACTTAAAGGGTTGCTGAAAGAAAGGAGTCCCAAAGGGACTGAAAAGGGGACGCCAGAAAAGTAGGAGGGAAAACTAGGAGAGAGTGCCATCAGGGATGCCAGAAATTTGACCAATTTAGGAGATGGGGTATGGCCAACAGTGTCAGATGTTGCAGAGACTAGTTCATTTGATTTGGCAACACAAAAGTATTGGTGAACAATTGCATTGTTGAGAGTTAAAAGATTAAATGGCAAGAATGGGAGCGGGGCCACAGTTGCCCATGACTTTTCCAAGAAATCTGACTCTGCTAGGGGAAAAAAAATAGAGTCCTTTTTATATATTTATTTATTTATTTTTTGAGATGGAGTCTTGCTCTGTCACCCAGGCTGGAGTGCAATGGCACGATCTCAGCTCACTGCAACCTCCACCTCCCGAATTCAAGTGATTCTCCTGCCTCAGCCTCCTGAGTAGCTTGGATTACAGGCACCCGCCATCACGCCTGGCTAATTTTTTTTTTTTTTTGTATTTTTAGTAGAGATGGGATTTCACCATTAACCAGGATGGCCTTGATCTCCTGACCTCGTGATCCACCCCCCTCGGCCTCCCAAAGTGCTGGGATTACAGGCGTGAATCACTGCGCCTGGCCAAATAGAGTCCATTTTTAAATGCTAGAAAGGGATGGCAGAGCTGAGTGTTAGAAAGCCAGAGCCTCCTGGATTTACCGGTGCTGTGCCATTATTTTCAGAGGCATTCATAGCTAATGACAAAGTAGACAGTGAACTACTGCAAAGCAGAACTGGCTGCCTTGCTCATCTCTTGCCCACAATTATTACTTTCCAAACTGATGAGAGACTATTCCTGAGATACTTATGATGGAGGTAGTTGGGAGGTCCTGGTGGGGAAGGATTACATGGAGGGAAGAGTAGTTATAAGTGTTTGAACTTGTTACCATTTAAACTGAGATTATAGAAGGGGAGAATGGAGTTAACCACCCCTCACCACAGTCTTGGTGAGGGATGGTTATGTTTGTCCTCACCTTGGTCTTGTCTACACTGTGCTCCCTATGGAGAACTTGGACCCCTCTGCCTTGTTCCTCTCACCCAGAGAAATTGCAGTGTCTGCTGTACCTATTCCTATGCCCTTCCACCCAGTCTAGTTTCTCCTGTTCTTCCCCAGATCTCCTTCCAAATAGACTGGTGTAACTGGCACAAAGTGTTTGTTAACTGATTGCCAATCCAATAATAAGGGGACTGAGGTTCTTCTTTGAAGGGTGGGTTTAATTTGGGGCTTTCGTACCAATTCTGACCACGTGTAGAGCATCATTCAGCACACTATGGGCTGTGAGCACAATCTTGCCTACCACCTGTTTTTAAATGGCCTAAAAGCTAAGAATGGTCTTCACATTTTTAAATGGTTAGGGAAAAAAAAAGCAAATGAAGAATATTTCGTGACACATGAAAATTACATGAAATTTGAATTTTAGTGTCCATAAATAAAAAGAGGGTTGAGGACAAAAACTCCAGGGAACACCAGTATTTAAAGAGTAGCTGAAAGGAAGGAGTCTATGAAGGAGACTGAGAAGGAGATGCTCAAGAAGTGGGAGGAAAAGCTAGGAGGAAACTAGGAACACAGCCACTCTCCTTCATTTACATATTGTGCATGGAGGCTTTCGTGCCACAGTTGAGTACTCATGACAGAGATCTGATAGCCCACAATGTCTAAAATATTTGCCATCTGGCCCTTTACAGAAAAAGTTTGCTAACCCCTGGTTTAGGACTCTAGGTGGCTGTGTCCCATATGTCTCCCCACTGGTAGTCTCATAAACTTCTTTTCTACTGTCCAGGGGCCTGAATCTCCCCACTGCCAGAACCGCTGATGGGTTAGTGCATAAATGTTGGGATACTGGGAAATGTTCTTTTGTTTTCTGGAGGGTTACCATGATTTCCAAACCCTAGTCCTTCCCTGGCACCCTGCCTCCACCACACAGACACACACACATATATACACATTGCTGTTCCAGAATATCTAGGAGGTCATAGAGTTGTTTTTGTTTTTGGCTATTACTGCTGCTATTACTTGTTTATCAAAAGAGGATATGAAGCCAGGCACAGTGGCATGTGCCTATAGTCCCCAGCTACTGAGGCGGGAGGATCGCTTGAACTCGGGGGTTCAAGACTGGAGTGAGTTATGATTGCACCTGTAAGTAGCCACTGCACTCCAGTCTGGGCAACAGGGGAAACTTTGTCTTAAAAAAAAAAAAAAAAAGGTGGAAGGTATGAATTTTGAAAGCCTCAGAAACACTGTTGGACAATATTCACATATATTAATTTCTCAGATTACTTGATTGCCACATTAGAGCTTTCTCACTGCCTCTTCCCCCACCCCTTCTGTCTTTCTCTTTCTTTTGTCTAACAAACTTGAAGCATGTACACTGACAGTTTCTTCCTCACCTCCCACTTACTTCTCAGCCCACCACAATCTGGAGTTGACTCCCACTACAACACTGAAACTGCTCTCAATAAATTTGTCAGCCATCTCATAATCACCAAATCTAAGGACACTTTTCAATCCTTTCTTGACTTTTGAGTAGCATTTAAAAATGCTGACCTTGCCCTCCTTCATGGCACACCTCTTTTTTATTTCTCTGATCTGCTTCTACCTTGGTCTTTTCTTAGTGCTCTGGATGGTCCTCGTGCCACCAGATTCTTACAAACCAGGGTATTTCAGTGTACTCGTTATTATCTTTGTCTCAGTGACACACACACCCTCCTCTACTGTGTTTTGAACTGCTTAGCTTAGGAGTCAGCCAGGTGTGTATTTCCCAGCCTTCCTGGACATCTGGCTTCCTTTTTGATTCTGCCAGTAGGAGGCACTGATGGGAGATCAGAAGGCAAGAGAAACTGAGAAGCATCCTGCTTCAGCCTCTAAACAGTGTCGGTGGCTGGCAATAGCTGGTAGCTATTGGCTGTAGCTGTAGCAGCAGGAAGAATGGGAGACTCAGGACTCCAGCCTCCTGAGCAGAAGTACCTTCTCAAGGATTCTAGCCTTGAAGGAGGTGGCACCTTTCTAGTAGATTGGAACTGACTATGACAGTGTCTCTCACAAGGCAATGAGTAGATTTACAGATTCCAGCTCAGGGATGATGGCAGCTTCTGATTTCCAGATAGCAATCTTTTTTTAAAATGTACATTTCTAGGACTCTCCTTTTTTTTTTTTTTTTTGTACTTCTTGCCCTTTTAACACCTTTGTAACCAATTCTCTATATTAAATTCTTTCAGTCTGAAGCACATAAAGTAGTTAAATGCTCCTGACTGGATCCTGGATAACTGGTATGAGGTTTGGGGTTTGAGCCCATGCATGCTTTTGTCCTTGTTTCACTTCCCACTCCTTCTGCACAGTTTACTTGGGTGATCTTATTCATGGCCTCTGCTTCGACATTTGTGCTGATGACTCTCAAATCAGGGTCTTCAGACCATACCTGGGGTCCATACCCACACGCCTCACTGCGCTCCCATGCAGTTTCAGCTGGCTGTTCCACTGGCATTTCAAATTCAACATGTACAAAATCAAGCTCTTTCTCTCTGTAAACCTGCTCCCATGGCATTCTTTTCTGCTTCAATTCAGTCCATCCCTGACCACCCACCCAGCCACCCATGCTGGAAATCTGAGATATCTTTGACTCCTCCACCTTCCCACTCCCACAGCTAATCAGTAGCCAAACCCTTTAGATTCTACTTCCTAATTATCTTGATATTCTATCTCCTCCGCCTCCTCTTATTATGACTTAATTCAGGCTCTTATTATCTGTCATTTAAATTATTGCTGTATTGCTACAGGAGTGGTGTGTATATGTGCAACTGTTCATCTTGGTATGCTATAGACTCTTGCCCAGCAGTTTTGCCTCAATTCTTTAAAAGCTCCAGTTCATTGTTTGAAATATCAATCAGAACATTTTTTCCAAAATGCTAAAATGATTGTCATTCCCCAGTTTTAATATCTCTATCATCTGCTAAGTAAAAGCAAGCTCCTCCTTGTGGCGTAGCAGGGCCCACGTGATCTGGCCCTTGCCCGAATTTGTAGCTTATCACAACATCCTTCTACCCCCCATTACCTCCTATTATACAGGAACACCCAAGCGACCTTCACAACATTCATATCAACTAGTACACAGGGTCTCCAAAGAGGACCTCTGGATGCCTGTGATCTTTGTACTTCTGCCTACCCTTTGCCCTGGCGTGTTTTTCTCTTCCTTCATGTTCTGCTGGCCAAATTGTTTTTCCTTCAAGTCTTAGGAGCCTGCCTGATTATGTTCCTCCTATTCCGCATCCTCATAAAATTACTGCGACTTCCAAAACACTTGGCACATTCTTATTTGAATACATTACATTGTTGTGTAATTATCCCTTGGCCCCCTCCCCCAGCACTAGACTCTAAGCTCTTTGAAGGCAGACTATGCCTATTCATCTTTGTATTTCTAGCCCTGGGCCCAACACCCAGAATTTCTTGTATTTTCAATATATGTCTGCCAAATGAATTAGAGCTAATGCCTGAAGGAGAATAAGTTTTTTTGAGAAAGAGGAAGAGCCAGGAGGGAGGAGAAGGCAGGGTCCGAAGAGCCCTGGGGGTTTACTTGGGGAAGATGCGGTTCCCCATTGCAGCATTCTGCCAGGAGGTGGCACTGCTCTGAAGAGCCAGCTGGTCGCTTACAGACTGAGGCTGACAGCTTGAAACCAAAGAGGGAACTCCACCAGGAAGCAACATTCCTCCACTGGGCTTCCCAGCCCAGTTACATGCCATACTCTGCCCTGGTCAAACAGCCAAGTCTTCAGGAGGTTACTGGCCCCAGGCGTCTCCCCAGTGACTGATGATGTTAAACCCTACGCTTCTCTGATTGGTTTAGACAAAATGACAAGGGCACCTATTGGAAATGATCTGGCAAAACATGATCTAAGGCCACCCTCTCGGGGAGGGAGTTGGGGAAGCTGGGTTGGCTGGGTTGGTAGCTCCTACCTACTGTGTGGCAAGAAGGTATGGGTCATGAACAGAACCAAGGAGCTGCGCTGCTACAGATGTTACCACTTCTGTGGCTGCTACCCCACTCCTGGGCCGTCCCTGAAGGTAAGATGGTACTCCTATTTACTTCCATCCTGAACCTAGGGAGCCCACTCAGCTTTGTGAGGAAAAGCGCTGTGCTTTGTGAGTGGTGGGAAGTCTTATGAGGCAGTGGAAACAACAGGGGAGTGGGGAAAGACAGCTGCTATGTGTGGTTGGTAAACGATATCAGTGATGCTTTGCATGTTCCATTTAAGACAATCTCTTGAAGCGGAGATTGTTCTCTCCATTTTACAAATGAAGAAAATGAGACTCAGAGTTATTTGTGCAAGTTCACACCATTGGAAAGTGGTAGAGCTGGGATTTGAACAAAGTGAATGTTATTTTCACTCCTCCACTCAAGATTCTACTCTGCTTTCTATCATTAACTTATCTTGTGATTCTTGAAAAGTGTCTTAGTTTCCTTCTCTGTAGAGGATGGGGCAGAATGGAAGAATAATCTGGAAGATCCCTCTTCCTCCAAATGTCTGTTTTTCTGGGTATTGGGTTAAAGGTTTCCTGCTGGCTGAGCGATTCCTGCCAAGAGCTTCAAAGAAGAGGGATTATTTTATGCAGTTATGGGGTCACTTCTCCCATTGCTGTCTTTGGGAGGCCTGGTAGGTTAAGGAACAGAAGACATTTTGAGAGACGCTTGGTGCCAATGAAGTGGCTGAAGAAATGTCTGGATACAGGTTTTCCAATTTACCATTTGTGTCTGGGGATAGTGGGAGGCAGTCCCATCTATGGCTTGGGGAGGCTGTAGCCATTCCTCCTCTTTCCCTTCTAAGAGTGAGAAACCCATCCATGGCCTTCTCTAGTCAATACAGTGGCCTGGTATGAATTAGACAAAGGAATCCCCTTTGGGAGGATACAGCCCTATGCCAGGATGTATGGCATGGTGAGCAGAATGCAGGCTTTCACTTGCTTCTTTGGCTAGGTGTCTTTGTGCAGCCCCCAAACACACAATGAACAGTGACTCTGAATCTGTCACTTTATTTTATATATATACATTTTTAAATTTTTTATTTGATTTAATTTATTTTTTTTGACACGGCATCTCGCTCTGTCACCCAGGCTAGAGTGCAGTGACGTGATCTCGGCTCCCTGCAACCCCTGCCTCTGGGGTTCAAGAGACTCTCCTGCCTCAGCCTCCCAAGTAGCTGGGATTACAGGCGCATGCCACCACACCCAGCTGATTTTTGTATTTTTAGTAGAGATGGGGTTTCATCATGTTTGCCAGGCTGGTCTCAAACTCCTGACCTCAGGTGATCCACCCGCCTTGGCCTCCCAAAGTGCTGGGATTACAAGCTTGAGCCACCGCGCCCGGCCTTTATATATATATTTTTTGAGACGGGCTCATTCTGTCACCTGGGCTGGAGTCCAGTGGCACAATCATGGCTCACTGCAGCCCCAACTTCCTAGGCACAAGCAATCCTCCTGCCTCAGCCTCCAGAGTAGCTGAGACCACAGGTGTTTGCCACCACACCTGGCTAAGTTTTTGTATTTTTTGTAGAGACAGGGTCTCGCTGTGTTGCCCAGGTTGGTCTTGAACTCCTGGGCTCAAGCAATCTGCCTGCCTCAGCCTCCCAAAGTGCTGGGATTACAGGCATGAGCCACCATGCCTGGCCTGAATCTGTCACTTTAGAAAGTAGAACTCTTTACTTTTGCCAACTGGCCTTTTTATAGGCAGGGGAAGCTTGGAGAGATGCCATAATTTGTTCTTCACCCCCTTTGGGAGGGGGAGTCTAAATAACAGACACAGGAAAGGGTCTCACCTCAGCCCACGCTCCTTAAGCAGGCCTTGCTTGTTTTTGTTGTTTTGTTTTGAGACAGAGTCTCACTCTGTCACCCAGGCTGGAGTGCAGTGGCTTAATCTTAGCTCCCGGCAACCTCTGCCTCCCTGGTTCAAGCAATTCTCCTCCCTCAGCCTCCCGAGTAGCTACAGGCGCATGCCAACATGCCCAGCTACTTTTTTGTATTTTTAGTAGAGATGGAGTTTCACCATGCTGGCCAGGCTGGTCTCAAACTCCTGACCTCATGATCCACCCACCTTGGCCTCCCAAAGTGCTGGGATTACAGGCATGAGCCACTGCGCCTAGCCCCACCTTGCTGTTTTTTAAGTTGGAGGAGAAGGCTCCCACCTCCCTGAACCTCACCCTGTGTCCTTTGCAGCTCCTACTCCAATGTGGCCAGATGACCTGCAAAACCACACATTCCTGCACACAGTGTACTGCCAGGATGGGAGTCCCAGTGTGGGACTCTCTGAGGCCTACGACGAGGACCAGCTTTTCTTCTTCGACTTTTCCCAGAACACTCGGGTGCCTCGCCTGCCCGAATTTGCTGACTGGGCTCAGGAACAGGGAGATGCTCCTGCCATTTTATTTGACAAAGAGTTCTGCGAGTGGATGATCCAGCAAATAGGGCCAAAACTTGATGGGAAAATCCCGGTGTCCAGAGGTCAGGAGTTTTCTGGGGAGTGAAGGGAGGAGGGCTGCATTAACCTCATTGATCTGTACACTGAATAATTCCCCTTGATACCAGCTCCCCATCTCAAATACTTTCTGGTTCTCTTCATCACCTTAATTTTTCCACCAGCCTTGGTCTGCACCCTGTGTTCTTTTGGTGGGCCGAAGTACCTAGCATGTAGTAGGCATTCAGAACTATGTATTGAATGTGATGAATTCAACAGGTACCAACTGATACCTACTGAATATTAACACTTGTGCTACTATGCCCAGCAAGATGGATGGGAAGAGTGGAAATATCTGATGACGTGACTATGTCTTAGTGAGAAGACAGTGCATGGTTAGACATCAATGTGAGCTCTAGACAGGAAGTGCTGAAGGAAGTCATGGTGGAGGGGTCCAGAGTAGCCTGGATCTGGCTCTGCTTCTACGTCTAGCTGCAGTCCTTGCCTGGAAGAAGACCTCCCTTCAGAGCCCAGCTCCTCGCTCATCTCTGTCTCCCAAAGCCTGACCCACTGTGTTCTTCTCTGCCCTCCCCTCCATATGCCATGGCCCCTCCAAACACAGAGATACCATCTAAACTAGTCTCTTTTTCCCCCTACACTTCAATCCCCCCACCAGGGTTTCCTATCGCTGAAGTGTTCACGCTGAAGCCCCTGGAGTTTGGCAAGCCCAACACTTTGGTCTGTTTTGTCAGTAATCTCTTCCCACCCATGCTGACAGTGAACTGGCAGCATCATTCCGTCCCTGTGGAAGGATTTGGGCCTACTTTTGTCTCAGCTGTCGATGGACTCAGCTTCCAGGCCTTTTCTTACTTAAACTTCACACCAGAACCTTCTGACATTTTCTCCTGCATTGTGACTCACGAAATTGACCGCTACACAGCAATTGCCTATTGGGGTGAGGCTTTCTCCCTGGAATTCTGGTCCTTTTGGGGGCAAAAAGGGATAGATCCATGGGAGGAGGCTTCTTTCTCCACTGGTACCTTGTTTAGTCCATTCCTACCCTAAGCCCATCCCAGTCTCCCATGTCATCCCAGACACCCACGTCATTTCCCTGGGTGGGAGGCTCCCTAACTAGGTCCCCAGGCTGAGCCACTCATTTCCTCCAGTACCCCGGAACGCACTGCCCTCAGATCTGCTGGAGAATGTGCTGTGTGGCGTGGCCTTTGGCCTGGGTGTGCTGGGCATCATCGTGGGCATTGTTCTCATCATCTACTTCCGGAAGCCTTGCTCAGGTGGTATGTCATCTGGAGGGGGCGGGTGAGCCTGTGGGAGCCAGATACAGTGGTGCATGCGTGCATGTGTCAGGATTATTTTGTGGCATGGGGGGACATATAGCGATCCTCAGGCCCTTGGGTGTGGGGGCCTGTATCCAGCACCATGGGGGCACATCTTCCCAGTTGGGGACCCAGTTACACACACACAGTTATGGGTCACAAGAATTGCTTTGAGTGAAAAAAGGAATCATGGGGTGCTGTAGGAAGGGTGCTTGGAGATGATTTGGGAACAAGGAGAGATCAACTTCTGCAGGGTGTGGTGCAGGCAGGGCGAGCAAGGCCTTTGTGGGGGAGGAGGAGGAGGAGAAGAAGGAGGAGGATGGATCCCCTGATGCCTTTCCTCCATCCCTGTCTCTCCCCCAGACTGATTCTTCCAGACCAGAGTTTGATGCCAGCAGCTTCGGCCATCCAAACAGAGGATGCTCAGATTTCTCACATCCTGCCCAGGATCTCCTCTTAGGGTAGAAGAAGTCTCTGGGACATCCCTGGGGTGTGTGTGTAGATTTCCCACCTGGGGACTCTGCTGTCCCTGGGCTTGCATCCCAGGGATCCCAGAGTGGCCTGCCTATCACAACCACATCCCTTCCCCCCACAAGGCAATAAATCTCATTTCTTTATATCAGTGTGGCTTCTTTCTTAACTCATGGTATTTGTTTCTGGATATCTCAACTTGAGTGGGTTGTCGTTTCAAATTCAGCATGCCTTAACCTGAACACAGCTTGACCTCGTTAGGGAGGGAAATAGGGAAAACCCCTAATTTGCCAGCTGAGCTCTTATTCCCTGGTCTTGGCGGTACATGATGTTTTTCCATCTATCGGTTTGTGCAAAATATGTGAGAAACGAAGGCAGAGTTATTTTCTAATAATCTGCTTACAAAATGGTTAAGGAAGCTGCTTGTGTGTTTTGTGCGTGTGTGTGTGTGTTGTGTATTTTACTGTTTGTGAAAATGTTTATGTCTCGTATAGGCTGCCCTGAGGAACATATAACTCCCTTCAACCCTCACCGTAACTGAGAAACAGAAGCTCAGGGATGGGAAGAATAAGCTCCCAAGTGCTATACCAATCAGTTATGTCAGTTCTGGGAAAACAGTATCATGAAGCCCCTAACATGAAGTGAAAACAGCCTGGAAGGGCAAAGAATTCACATGTCTTTCCTGACAATCTGTTCCTTGGCCTGAGTGAACTGTCCAAGGAGAACTGCACAGGTGCTGTCCTGGGAAGATAACGAAAGGTGGCAGCACATGACCACTGGTGGTAAATTGCTTTGCATATGCTTTCTTTCTTGCATTCCTTAGGGTCTGGGAGTTGCTTTGGATGACAGGGTGGCAATAAAGTTGAGAGGGCAATTATTTGGTGAGGGAGTTTCTGTTCTTGGCATTGTACTAGAGTCTAATCTAAAAGAAAATATTAAATTCTCCCTAAGAGAAGTTGCACTGTCTCTGAACCATCTCATTTCTAACAGCATCATGTGTACCGGTTAAGAAGCATGGGCTCTGGAACCTGACTGCTGGGGATTCAATCGTAACTGTCAGCGTTTAGCTGTGAGCCCTTGGGCAAGTTACTTAACTTGTGCTTTGGTGTCATTTTCTGTAAAAGGATGATGATAACAATGGTGTCCCCCTTACCACTCTACACCCACCATGTTGCCAACATTTGAAAGTCAAATAAGTATTAGCGAGGATAAAGGAAAATGTGAACTGTAATATCTTGGTCTGTTGGTGGGAATGTAAACTGTTTATGATGCCCGAATTACAGAAATTATGAACTAGTTGAGTGAAAAAGTTAATATAGGAAATAAGGCAGCATATCCTCATGCTGTGAAGCTTAAATAAGTTAATACCTACAGAATGCTTAAAATAGTGTTTGGCACATAGAAAATGTGCTGAATAACCTAACCTTATCATTATTGGTCTTGATCTTCAGAGGAGAACTTAGTTGCCTCGTAGACTTCTTTCTCTTTTCTGAAATATACCTCAATACTAGCTTCAAGTATTGTATTTTCTCCATTTTAGATGTTTTTCTTTTTATTCTCATGTTAGTAATTCTAGATGTGGTGCTTTCTAGTTCTTCCTAATTTCTCTGTCTCTCTGTTTTCCAACTTATCTAGATATTTCCTGTCAGGCAAGACTTAAAAGTGCTTTATTATGCTGTGTGACTTTAGACAAGTCACTTCCCCTCTCTGGGCCTCAAAGTCTTCATCTGTAAAATGATGGGCTTAGATTAGATGCTCTCTGATGAAACCTTCTATGATACTGTTACTTAAGTACTCTAGAAGCACTCAGTATCCTCTCTAGTCTGGTGCCCCTTTTCTAATAAAAAATATTACTCACTATTCCCAGCAGGAATGCTATTCTTGAATAAATCTTTTTTCCTCACTCTTCCTTGAGGTATTATATCTGGTTTTGGTTTAGGGCATTTGCCCAGGCTCTTTCCTCTCACAAGAATGCTTTCTTTATTCTGCTCATCTTGTTCCTGTCTTAACCCACTCCATAGGTCCAACTCCAGTTCAACTTATTCCATGAACCTGCCCCTAATTTCTCTTTATTGAAATCTTCCAAGACTTAAAGCACTCAACCTAAGGATTGGGATATGCCGCTTTATTTCCTATGTTAATTTTTTCGCCCAACTAGTTTATAATTTCTATAATTCAGGGATCATAAACAGTTTACACTCCCATCAACAGAGCAAGATAGTTCACATTTCCCTTTATGCTCACTAATGCTTGTAATTATTTGACTTTCAAATGTTGGCAACATGGTGGGTGTAGAGTGGTATTTTGTTGTTTTAATTTGCTTTTCTCTCATTACTAATCAGTATCATATTGTTTGATTATTTTGGCTTTTTAATATGTGTTACTATTTAGTAGAACTAGTCTCCATTCCTTCACCACCTTCCCAAAAAATTTATTTTCCTTTTCTTTATCAAAATATTCTAAGATACTCTTGGACTTTATTTCCATGTACATTCTATAATCAGTTTGTTAAATTCTCCTGAAATCCTACTGTTACTTTAATTGGGGTAGCATTTAGGTTAGAGATGTGGGGAGAGGTTGTCATTATGTTAGCATGGCCTATCCATGAATA
Organism: Homo sapiens; assembly: GCF_000001405.40. Classification (NCBI taxonomy): domain Eukaryota; kingdom Metazoa; phylum Chordata; class Mammalia; order Primates; family Hominidae; genus Homo; species Homo sapiens. Next base: position 4,250,999 of record NT_167244.2, on the reverse strand, counting down.
TGGTATATCTCTACACCTCTCAGGTCTTTGTGCACTTCAATAAAGTTTTCTTTTTTCTTAAAATTCTTATATTTGATATGTTAATTCATAAATATGCTATGGTTTTTATTGTTATTATAAATAGTAGGCAATTTTCAGTTATTTTCCAATTGATTATTGGCAATACAGGATTTAAAGTAATAAATCCTGAGTTCAAGTAATGGTTTTATTACTTAGTATCTGGGTAAATCTGGGCAACCACTTAACCTCCCTCTGCCTCCATTTTCTCGTGGGTAAGATGAAGATAGCATTCTTCAATAGTTGTGGTGGCAAAAAATAAAATTAAAAAAGGAAAAATAGTTGTGGCAAATCAGATAGACTATCCCTAGTAGTTCAAATAATTTGACTGTAGGTTGGAAGGATGGTGAACTGACTACAGAAACTATAATCCAAAGGTCAGGGTCTAGAGCAGTGAATCCTGACAGGGTAGGAGGGTGTGTGTGTGGGCGGAGGTGAGGTAAGGGGTAGATGGCAGGGGTGGGGTGGGGATTGGACAGATTGGGCAAGTAATATAATCTTGGCAGGATGTAGGTGTGTGTAGTTTTGAAAAGACACTGAAGTCACGAATGTGGTCTTATGCTATGAGGCGTGATTAACTGGTTGAGCAATTTTGTGTTTATAAAATGGAGACTTCAGTTAAAACCGTCTGCCCCAAGAACCTGCGAACTGACATGGAGCAACTTTAGGAAGTGCCTAGAAGAGATTTATTATTATGGCCATACTCTCAGAAAAAAACAAGAAATCACATTTGTGACTTCCTCCAACGTGCAGTGCCAGTGACGTTATTGTAGCTTGTCTTTGTTTTAGCTAACCCAGGCTCTCGTAGGACACCTCCTCCCTGATGGCACCTCACAGCATTGTCAAGCTTGTGGAGCTATACACCAGACCTACAATGCCAACTGCCTTCCTCCTCTCCAACACAAATCCAGCCCAGTATTCAAGGCTCATTCCAGGCCCTCTCGACTGAGAGTACTCCCTGTCTACCATGTCCATGGTGATTTCTCTCTTCTCTTTTAAGACCACTGGCCTTATTGCTTACTTACTTTAATATAAACTATTTAAAGTGTTTGTTCTCACTCCCCAATTGACGTACAAGCAAAGCGATATGGGGGCAGAATCCATATCTTCTCACTCTGTATTTTCCCAGTAATGCTTTGCACACAAACCCTGGGACTAGTTTACTGCAGGCATGTGGTGGTCAGGCTAAGGGCAGAGGCAATGGGAAAGGAGAGGACTCACTCTTTGGGTGGTTGTGTAGAGGCAATAAAAGAAAGGCAACATGTGGGAACCTGGTTGGGGCTCCATACCTCTTCGGTCCCGGTGCTATATCAATAATTAACAAATAAGTAACAATGGACAGAGCAACTGAAATGTTATTTTGAATTGGCTAGAGGTGGAAAGACAGAGCTATATCTGTAAAAATGGAAGGGTTGGGAGGAGGAGAGGAAGGAAAACACTGCTGAGCACAGGTGTCTGGGTTTTCTGTCCTTCTTTATTCTAAAAAGCTCCCTCAGTGTTTGAATTAATAGAGAAGTGAAATCCTCTCCTACCATTTCCTGTTGTGGCCTCACAGAAGGTTTCACATCTCCTTTGACTGCCGGAGCAGAGATCTAGACATAAGAGGGAACTACATTCAGCCCCACTGTTACTGGCTAGGGCCATGTTCAGTGCTGGCACAGGACCACACAGCCAGTGCTCCCTTGCCAGGGCTAGGCTTTGTAGACATTGAAAAGGATCCCAGGACTTGGTTCCTATAAGGTTAGGCTAACAGCTTACCTGGGCAGGATGGGGAGGAATGTGAGGGGGAAATGTATTGGGGGGGTGTGGGGGAAAATTCAGTTTTGAAACTTGTCAAAAGAGAAAGTGGAAGGGACGGTGGTTCTCAGAGCAGAAGGAACTCTGAGGACAGGAAAGATAAGACTTGGGTGAATTGGGTTATGGATTGTGACTCTTCTCTTTCTCTCTTTCTCAGCGGAGGCCTCACTAACTCCCTTTATTTGAGCCATCCCAGTTCCAAGATGTAGTGAGTGTGTGGGCATGCTCAAGAGAGTGTGTATGTGTGTGTGTGTGTACACACGTGCATGTGTAACAGCTGTATAAGAAGAGGAGTTACAGCCTTTAGACCTTGGGTGTGAATCTTTGGACCTGTTTTCCAACCTGGGAAATGAGGACAATTAACAAGTTTTTTTTTTTTTTTTTTTTTTTTTTGAGACAGTCTCATTCTGTCACCCAGGCTGGAGTGCAGTGGCACGATCTCGGCTCACTGCAACCTCCACCTCCCAGGTTCAATCGATTCTCCTGCCTCAGCCTCCAGAGTAGCTGGGATTACAGGCACGCGCCACCACACCCAGCTAATTTTTGTATTTTTTGTAGAGACGGGGTTTCACCATGTTTGCCAGGCTGGTCTCAAACTCCTGACCTCAGGTGATATGCCTTCCTCAGCCTCCCAAAGTGCTGGGATTACAAGCGTGAGCCACCATGCCCGGCCAACAAGTCTTTTAAGATGAGATGAGATATTATAGAAAGGACCTACCTAGCACTGTATCTGTAGAAGCTCTACAGATTATGCACTCCCCACCCCATATTCTGCCCATTCCAACACACTTGACAGTTCGTTAGCAGAGTTAGAGTATATAAGCAAGGTGAGTGGGGGCAGTGGCTGGGAGCTATGGCAGAGCTTCAGTTAATCTCAATTAGTTACACAACGAATCTTTCGTTTTTGGTAATAATCTTTGTATGCATTTTTTATCCCCATTTTCTTCATAGGTGTTAGATTTTCCTGAGATCAGGGACTTTGAGGGAGGGCAGGTAAGTGTGGTGTCAAGGGGCCCCTTCCACAATCCTCTTTTGTTTAGCTCACTATTTAATAAAATCCAAGAGTTCTCAGAAACTAAGATGTGAAGAGGCAGCCCTGAAACCTACTGGGGAGCAGAAGGAAGCCAATTTAGAGTTTCAAGTTAGTGATGGAAAATCCATCAACTGTATAGTTCACAATGGGATAGAAGAATGAATTGCCGTTTAAAATCTGCTTTTTCAGGCCAGGCACGATGGCTCATGCCTGTAATCCTAGCACTTTAGGAGGCTGAGGTGGGTGGATCACTTGAGGTCAGGAGTTCAAGAACAGCCTGGCCAACATGATGAAACCCTGTCTCTACCAAAAAAAAAAAAAAGACAAAAACTAACCAGGAGTGGTGGCACATGACTGTAACCCCAGCTACTCAAGTGGCTGAGGCATGAGAGTCATTTGAACCCAGGAGGCGAAGATTGCAGTGAGCCGAGATTATCCCACTGTACTCCAGCCTAGGCGACAGAGTGAGACTTTCAAAAAAAAAACCTGTGAAAAAAATAAATACGCAAATACATAAAATCTGCCTTTTCAAGACACACACGTGACCAAGAAGCATATGAAAAAATGTTCAACATTACTAATGATTAGAAAAATGCAAATCAAAATCATAATGAGATACCGTCTCACACCAGTCAGAATGGCTATTATTAAAAAGTCAAAAAATAACAAATGTTGGAGAGGTTGCAGAGAAAACGGAAGGCTTATACACTGCTGGTGGGAACATAAATTAGTTCAGCCATTGAGGAAAGCAGTTTGGCAATTTCTCAAGAACCTTAAAACAGAGCTACCATTCGTCCCAGGAATCCCATTATTAGGCATATACCCAAAGGAGTATACATTGTTCTACCATAAGGACACATGCACATGAATGCTCACTGCAGCAGTATTCATAATAGCAAAGACATGGAATCAGCCTAAATGCCCACCAACAGTAGACTGTATAAAGAAAATGTGGTACATATACACCATGGAATACTCCACAGACAAAAAAGGACGAGATCACGTCTTTTGCAGCATCATGGATGGAGCTGGGGGCTGTTATCCTAGGCAAACTAACACAGGAGCAGAAAATGAAATACTGCATGTTCTCACTTTTATAAGTGGGAGCTAAACATTGAGTACACATGGACACAAAAAAGGGAATAATAGACACTGGGCCCTACTTGAGGGTGGAGGATGGGAGGAGGGAGAGGATCAAAACACTACCTATCAGATACTATACTTATTACCTGGGTGATGAAATAAATTTTTACGCCAAATCCCGATGACACACAATTTACCTATATAACAAACCTGCATGTGTACCCTTGAACCTAAAACAAAGGTTAAAATAATTTAAAATAAATAAAAAATAAAATCTTACTTGGTATTCTCAAAAAATAAAAAACAAAATCTGTCTTTTCAGGGGAAGAAAAGTAGGAAAGCTTTATCTCATTTTCCTAGTGGCTTCATAATGCAGGGACCTGCCCCCAGGGAACAGGGTATAGTAGGGGAAACACACAGGGGTGTTTAGAGTTTGGCGAAAGGCAGGTGAGCTCTGGGCACTGACCCGTCACCAGCTATTTTTCAAGGAGTCTGAGAGGTGTTAACCTGCGGTCTACCCCGTGAGATTGCTCAGAGTGTAGGAGGATATGGTTTACTAGCTCCGGAAAGCAGCTATTATAACTGAGGAGGAAATGAAGCTTGACTGGCTAGAACAGAAGCAACAATGGAGGCCCATGGAGGGATTTTCCAGGCCCCTATTCCTGATCTCCATGGTGGCGCTGCTTCCCTTATTCTGCAGTCTTGCTTTGAGACCAGACAATTCTGTACTCTGTCTGTGCCTTCTTCCTTCTCAGCAGCCCTGCCTCTGCCACCTGCCCCAGAAGGGCTCTGGGTCCTCTCATCTCAGGACAGACAAGGGTTTTTGTAATTATCTTCTTGGGTAACCTCCCTGTAAGGAATAGGAGAGGTTATCTGGTCCTGGTCTTTTGGGAGAGCATTGAGAAGAAAAAGTTAAACCAGTGGGCAGCCCAGGCTGCATACATCCTGGGAATATTGCGATTATTCTCTCCAGTAATCTACGGAAATCTACTGGTTGTTCTGCAGAAAAAGAATTAAGAGAGACAAGGAGACCTGTTGTCTAAGACTAAGGCAGGATGACGTTTACCTAGTAACTGATGATGCTAGGCTGAGGCACTCAGTGATTTGTCTCTACATTTGTCCCTGCCTACCTAGCCAATCTGTCCCTGTTTGGGACACTGGACTCCCGTGAGCTGGAAGGAACAGATTTAATATCTAGGGGCTGGGTATCCCCACATCACTCATTTGGGGGGTCAAGGGACCCGGGCAATATAGTATTCTGCTCAGTGTCTGGAGATCATCTACCCAGGCTGGGGCTTCTGGGACAGGCGAGGACCCACGGACCCTGGAAGAGCTGGTCCAGGGGACTGAACTCCCGGCATCTTTACAGAGCAGAGCATGATCACATTCCTGCCGCTGCTGCTGGGGCTCAGCCTGGGCTGCACAGGAGCAGGTAAGGACACTTCTTCTGGGGACTCTCCCTTCCCCTGCTCCTGTTTCAGGGTAAGGGTGTTCCGTTTTGTAATTGCATTTGACACCCCAGATAGTTTGTCTCCCTGGTATACATTCCTATAGCACTTTGTACTTTGTAGCAATTTTAATGTAATTAATCTGTATAATTATCTGTGCAGTGTATATTCCCTGCTGGAATATAGGCAAGGACAATGTTCATCTTATTTATTGCTGCCTCCTCAGCTCCTAGCACAGTGCCTTGCATGCAGCAAGTGCTTCATAAATATGTGCGAAGTGAATATTTAATATTTCCAGCACAATACAAGGCTGACTCTTTCTCTTGACCCTTTTTCTCTCTCAATAATTTGCCTTACTGAAGGTCTGTGTTCTGGGCAAATTGTCATGTTTAAACATGCAAATAATCTCGGGGGGCTACTCCTATCCCTGTGCTTAGTCTTGCATAAAGAGGAGACTGGATCTAAAAACTTATCTACTACTTCTACTGACTCCCTCAAATCAGACTTTCAGAAACTTCAGTGTATGAGCTTGGTCAGTAGATGTTCCCTGAGCAGGAAATCTGTGCCAGACTAGCTGGATGTCACCAAGGCTTAGGTTCTGAGCTGAATATAGGAAAAATCAACTTTTTTTCTTCTATATGCTCACACTCAACACTTCTTTGACCAACTGTGTGAGGTTTTTTTTTTTTTTTTACTCATACCAACCAATTCTCCTATATTAGCTGGATATCCTATAATTCAATTCCATTGTGACATTAACTAGAGTTAACATAGACACCAAAGGTTAAAGACTCAGTCCCATAAGACTGCCTCCATTTCAGACACCAATCACAAGTAGTAGGTTCCCAAATTACCCACATCTTCTGTCCAACTTGCCTACAAATCAGAGGTTCCCATGACCCCCTCCTTGGGGTTGGTAATTTGCTAAAGTGGCTTATGGAACTCAGGAAAAGTTTACTTATTATTGTAGATTTTTTACAAAGGATATTTTAATTGATAATAATAATTATAAATATTCATGGGGTGGATAATGATGTTTTAGTACATGTAATGTACAGTGATCAGATCAGATCATCATCTCATTTATCATTTCTTTGTGTTGGAAACATTCCATATCCTTCTTCTAGCGATTTGAAATGATATAAAGTATTATTGTTAATGACAGTCATCCCACAGTGGTATAGAACACTAGATCATAATTTTGCATCCTTTAACAAAGGATATTTTAAAGCATACAAAGGAACATCCAGATGAAGAGATACCAGATCTGGAAGGGTCCCAATCACAGGAGCTCTGTCCCCACAGAATTGGGGTACTTCACCTCCTGGCATGTGGATGTGTTTACCAACTGAGAAGTTCTCTGAACTCCATAGTTCCGGGATTTTTATGGAGGCTTCATCATGTAGGCATGACTGATTATTAACTCAATCTCCAGCCCCTTCCCCTTCAGGGAGTATGGGGGATGGGACTAAAAGTTCCAGACTTCTAATCATGACTTGGTCTTTCTGGTGACCAGCCCCTCCTGCAGGAGCCCACCAAGAGTACCTCATTAGAACAAAAGACACTCCTGTTATCTAGGAAATTCTAAGCGATTAGGCACTCTATGTCAGGAACCAGGGTCAAAGACAAAGCTCTGTGCAGAGCTCCTAAATATACGTCTGTATGTTTTATATATTTATTATTTGTGTATATTTATTATTTATATATTTATTTATTTATTGCCAGGCCAGTAGAAGACATTGACCTGTTCTCCCTTCCCTGGCTCCTCTAGGTGGCTTCGTGGCCCATGTGGAAAGCACCTGTCTGTTGGATGATGCTGGGACTCCAAAGGATTTCACATACTGCATCTCCTTCAACAAGGATCTGCTGACCTGCTGGGATCCAGAGGAGAATAAGATGGCCCCTTGCGAATTTGGGGTGCTGAATAGCTTGGCGAATGTCCTCTCACAGCACCTCAACCAAAAAGACACCCTGATGCAGCGCTTGCGCAATGGGCTTCAGAATTGTGCCACACACACCCAGCCCTTCTGGGGATCACTGACCAACAGGACACGTGAGGAGAGAGGGGTGCAGAGGGGCTACCAGGAAGTGCAGTTAGGAGGGCAGGCCAGGGAGGATCCCACAGTGGCCCAGGGGTTTGAGATTTGAGCAGCAAATAAGAGAAAATGTGTGGATCTGAAATGTAGAAAGACGGAGGATTGAACCTCAAGGGGAACAAGGTGGCTGACGTGAGTGGAACAGGAGTAAAGAAGGGGAGGTGAGGCTTGAACCGCGAGGTGCCATGTGGGGAGCTTATGCAGAGGCTGGGGCATCTCAGGATGCATACCCAAGATGTTCTTGCCTTGTTATCCCAGATTTTGATGTTCCAGATCTGATGTGGGCCCAGGCATGGGAATATTTGGAATCCCAGGGGATTCTGACACATGCTTTTTCTCACCCTTAAACTCTTGCATTGACAATGGCTTGAAGTTTGTGAAAGTAAACTTGAAGATCTCCACAGTACAGAACAGTGTGTCTCAAGGGTGGTTTCTGAACCACCTTTCTCAGAATTGCCTGGAGGAGGTGCTTGTTAAAGATGCAAGCCCCTTAGTACCACTCCAGATCTGTTGAAAGAAAGTATCTGGGGATACAGCCTAGGAAATCTGCATTTTAACATAATTCCTTGGATTTTTATTTAAGATTGTGTTTGAAAAATGTCAAGATAGAGGCAAGCAAGAGGATCACCTAGGAGAGTAAATTAGTAAAAGATGGCAGTATTAGCAATCTCTTTAGTTTGACTACATTCATTCCAAATTTAAGAGTGAGTCCTAAGTTAGGCTTGTTTCCTTGAACTATGTGAGGAGAAAAAGCTTTAACTAGCAAAAGAACGTATTAAACAAGATTTGGAGAAAAATTCCTTTTCCACCTTAAAAAAACCCAATGTACAACTCTGGATTACTCTTAGCTTCCTTATTTCAAATACTTTCCAGTTTATGTACTTGAAATAAATACAACAACTTCTAGAACAGCTTGCAGTTCAGATCTGGCTTTTACTAATTGTAATCAAACATAATTCTGGAGGAGGAAAGAAAGAAAGGGGCAATGAAGGAATGGGAGAGAAGAAAGAGTAATGCAGGAATACATTCTAACGGTTCCCCTTCAAGGGGCAGCATGGCAGAGGGGGCTGGGGTGGAAAGTGGGTTGCAAAATCTACGAAGAGTTGCGATAGGGAAGAAACCAGGTTGAGGAAGCAGCCAGAATGTCACCCTCCTTCCTAAACATGTTTTTTTCTCCTATGCAGGGCCACCATCTGTGCAAGTAGCCAAAACCACTCCTTTTAACACGAGGGAGCCTGTGATGCTGGCCTGCTATGTGTGGGGCTTCTATCCAGCAGAAGTGACTATCACGTGGAGGAAGAACGGGAAGCTTGTCATGCCTCACAGCAGTGCGCACAAGACTGCCCAGCCCAATGGAGACTGGACATACCAGACCCTCTCCCATTTAGCCTTAACCCCCTCTTACGGGGACACTTACACCTGTGTGGTAGAGCACATTGGGGCTCCTGAGCCCATCCTTCGGGACTGGAGTAAGTGTATGGCAGATGGATGGAATTAGGGTCAAAGCAGAGAAAATGAGATGTGGATCGATACATGGTACATGGTAGACAGCGAAGTGCTGAAAATGGGGACTGAGTCTGGAGGAACTTACGGGGGGCTTAGGACCAGAATGGGGAAATGGGATAAAGAAATGGAAATATTTAGGTTGGTGCAAAAGTAATTGCAGTTTTTGCCATTACTTTCAGTGGCAAAAACCGCAATTACTTTTGCACCAGTTTAATATTTAGTCTGTGCTATTGCTGCTCTGGTGGTGTGGTTGATGTTGCTGCGTCTATGTTTGAGGGTGAGAGGGGAGCGTGCTTGCTTTGAAATGAGGATGTAAATTTGGCAATCATATTTTCAGAACCCCAAATTGTAATACACTATTCTAGCCTCCTTAGATTTCAACTATTCTGGTGCCAGAAGCAGATGGGAGCTGAAGGAATGATGAAGGTTGAAGAAGGGGGGCTTTTCTTGGTGTGGGGCAGTACTGCATTTGGCCTGCTCTACCAAGCATACGGGAGTAGTAAAGCCACGGCTGGCAGACCATTTGGCATGCATGCTCAGGGGCCAGTGGATAAAGAATTACTTACAGTTCAAACACTGTTTGAACTCAGTGTCGGGAGTAGTTAAAGGTATCGTGAGAAGTTGCACACAGCTTTGGGGACTCTTGGAAAAGAAAGAGGAAGAAATGAGGAAGAGGAAGGGTGTCTACAAAGGGCCAGAGAACAGGATCTCAGATCAGCTGCTGTAACCAGGTTTCCCCTTGTGGGAAGTGTTGTTTCTTGCTGGGCAGTTGGGAAGGGAATGGAGAACAGAGAAGAGAGTGGAAATCACATGCTCACTTGAACTTTCCTGGGGAACGTCTCCTCACAGCGTGCACAAGAGCCTCCCTTTAGAAATGGAGTGTTCATTTTATCATGGGAAAAGAATCTGAGTGGGACATGATTCAGAACAGGACCGGCCCAAGGAAGTGCAGGGGCTGTGGAGTGGGATGGAGACAAGCTCTGAAAGGACACATGGGAGATCTAGATGTAGAAGGTACACAAGTAGTAGGATAACTCACAGGATGGATCCACTGGAGGTTAAGACATGTGGTAAGACAGTGTAATAGGAAGCTGCTCAGTTGGAGAAAGTAAGGAAGCAAACATTGTTACCGTGGGGGCAATGGAGAGGACAGTGAGGAGCCCTTTATCCTGATAAGGGTGGCTTTGAGGTAAAGGAAGGAAAGAGGATGCCTTGAGAGGCCCCACTGTATTAGAGAGGACCTGGAAGCCAGGATGCTAATTCTGGGGAGATGGATTCCCCAGGCTTACTCTAGGAGTAGAGGTCCATGGGACGAGGGTTTGATTTGAGAAAGATCATTTTCTTGGGAGTGGGTGGTGTGAGCTAGACCCTTGGAGCTGGGATAAAGGACCTTTTAACCCACTGAGAGGTGGCTGCAATAAATGGAATTGCCCTGGGGGTGAGCAACAGAAACTGGGTCAAGTAAGTTTCTATTTTTTGCAGCACCTGGGCTGTCCCCCATGCAGACCCTGAAGGTTTCTGTGTCTGCAGTGACTCTGGGCCTGGGCCTCATCATCTTCTCTCTTGGTGTGATCAGCTGGCGGAGAGCTGGCCACTCTAGTGAGTGACTCGCTGAACTCCCATCCCCACTCTTGGTCCCACTCTCTGCTTACTTTCTGTTTGTGATTAACTCTCTCCTTCCTACTGCATTTGCTATGAATACTGCTAGATATTTTCATCCACAAAGACTGGTATAATCAAGTATCTTCCTCTCTTAGGTTACACTCCTCTTCCTGGGTCCAATTATTCAGAAGGTAACATCTCTGTTGGTCTGTTTCCCTACTTGCCCTTTGGTAGGGGTGCGGGTTAGAGGGGTCAGTGTTGGGTTCAACTAATCTTGATTATTATATGGGTGAGCTTCCATGAGGATCTAGGCAAGGGCATGATTTAAGCTGCCATTGCTAGGATTAAGAGCAGGAAGGAGCATCCTCCTCTTCTACCAAGTGGGATGTCTGTGGAGAGGAGGCTGAAGGTGCTTCCTTTGTATTAGTTGTTGGTGCCCTGGAGTTTTCAGTATCACTGTATTAAGGCATGGGATGGTTACAGTGACAAACGATGGGGGCAAGTTGGGTTGAAGCCTCATTATCTCCCTTTTATTTATTCTGTAGGATGGCACATTTCCTAGAGGCAGAATCCTACAACTTCCACTCCAAGTGAGAAGGAGATTCAAACTCAATGATGCTACCATGCCTCTCCAACATCTTCAACCCCCTGACATTATCTTGGATCCTATGGTTTCTCCATCCAATTCTTTGAATTTCCCAGTCTCCCCTATGTAAAACTTAGCAATTTGGGGGACCTCATTCCTGGGACTATGCTGTAACCAAATTATTGTCCAAGGCTATATTTCTGGGATGAATATAATCTGAGGAAGGGAGTTAAAGACCCTCCTGGGGCTCTCAGTGTGCCATAGAGGACAGCAACTGGTGATTGTTTCAGAGAAATAAACTTTGGTGGAAATATTGTTTTTCCATGTCTTCTTCCTGGGGCCCTGGGGAAGGAATATGGGCAAAGCAGGGACTGAGGTTAATTCTCTTCTGCTTGAGTAGGGGAGAAATCAATGCCTTCTTCCATTTTCCCACTTAGACATGACAGAATTTGGGGCCGTTTTCTGATTTATAATTCATAAGGAGAAATTCAACTGTGGTGGGTTGGAGTCACAGAGTATGGGCAAGGAAGGGAATTAACAGCTTACTCACCTCATACAGGATCTTATGAGGATTAAATGAGTTCATACTTGTAAATGGCTAAGAACACCGCCAGGCACATAGCCAGCCTGCAATAGTGACGTTAGCTATATTCGATTATTCAACTTTCTGGCCAGGCATTGTACCAGGTGCTTTGATCCTCATCACAACCGTAAGGCAGACCCCTCATACCCCTCAGGATTCAGGGGACAGAGCTTAACTCCAGATTGAGTTCTAGACAGTTATTTCTTTCATACCCTGAATGCAGAAGGGAACATAGCTTGAGTGATTATTATGTCTTAGGCACTGGTCTCAGACCTTTATATTTGTAGCTCATTCTCTTCTCACAATAACCACACAAGGGACAGATTGTTTCCCTCTATGTTACAGACAAAAGATGTGAGGCTCAGAGACATTTAAGTGACTTGTCCAAGGTCAAAGAACAGATTTCTGTAGGATGTTTGTCTACCTGAGCTGGAAGTAGCAGATTACTTTATTCTGAAGACCCTCATGCTGGTGAGCACACATCTCTTCAGAGCCACCGTTCCATTCCCTTCTACCCCAAGACCAAGGAGAGCCCTTTGGGGGAATGGACTCCACCCTAAGGAAGAGAGGATGCTGGCTGGTGGTTTGTTGTCCCACGAAGGGCGACACCTGCTGGACACAGAAACCTAGGGTGTGGAATTGTTTTTGGAATTAGAGCTAGATACTAGAATATGGGTAAGAAAAAGAAACCAAGAAATGAGTTGATTTGGAACACCTCCATAATTTCTTCAGAAGCATCCTTGGAATTAGAGCATCTCTTCTGGAAGGGGTTAACAGAAGAAGTCAGTGAAAGGAACTTAATCTCTACATTTTACCATTTTTATGTTTCATTTTCATTTTTTTCTATTCACTGTTTTTGTTTTTATTTTTGTTTGTTTGACAAAGCAAATTCCTTTTGAAATTCTAGTTTAGTCTAGGAATGGGGGGCTTTGGGCCTTGTCTATATCTGGGCAGTTTTATTTATTATTTTTATTTTATTTATTTATTTTTTTTCGAGACAGAGTTTTGCTCTTGTTGCCCAGGCTGGAGTGCAATGGCGTGATCTCGGCTTATTGCAACTTCTGCCTCCCATGTTCAAGCGATTCTCCTGCCTCAGCCTCCCAAGTAGCTGAGATTACAGGCGTGCACCACCACGCCTGGCTAATTTTGTATTTTCTTAGTAGGGATGCGGTTTCACCATGTTGGTCAGGCTGGTCTCGATCTCCTGACCTCAAGTGATCCACCTGCCTCAGCCTCCCAAAGTGCTGGGATTACAGGCGTGAGCCACCGCACTAGGCCTATCTGGACAGTTTTAAAGGAGAAGCTGCAGATCTGAAGGGTCTAGTTCTAGTCACAGCAGTGGGAATCAAAGTGACAGGATCCCAGAGAAAGGAAGTAGAGAGTTAGCTAATGGGACGGCTTCCAGTTCCTTTTCTAGAGATTTCCAGTGCAGGCTTTTCTCTGCCCTAACTTTGTAGGTTTTTTGTTTTATAGGAAAGGCTGTCCCCTTCCAGGTAAGAAATAGGGAAAAGTATATGTAGGTCTGCTAGGATCCAGAAAGTCAGAATACTATAGGTAGAAAGGGGAGTTCTTACACAGGGGAATGAGTGGTACTTGAAAGGAAGGTGGAAGAAGGGTGATGGTGCACCAATTGTAGGAGGATGAGGAGAAGAGAATGGATGCTGCATGAGGAGAATGGAATGTAAACATAATGGATTGCCAAAAAAGGAGTGTGTGTGTGTGTGTGTGTGTGTGTGTGCACTTGAGCACATGTGAGAGAAAGAGAGGAAAAAAAGAGAAGGAGTGGAAGAGAGTAAGAGAGAGGGAGCAAAAGGGTGAGAGGAGAGAAGTGGAGTGGGAGAAAGAAGGAGAGGGACATAGAGAGAGGGAGGGAGGGGAGCGGGGGAAGAGAGAGAGAGCTGGACTTTCGGGTTATACATAATCCAAGCTGCACAAAGAATTGTTTTCGCCCTTCAATGTCTTGTTGTTTTAAAAGCTGAACTTGGAGCTAGAATTGGTTTTAAAGGTCATCTAGTCCACCTCCCCTCCCATGAAAGAACTGGGCCTGTGTTAACAAGGGCACACACAGTGCAGGGAGTTCCTTCAACACTTGGGGCAGATAACAATATTTTAGAGAAACGCGTTGAGCCCACATTTGAGCTTCTTCTTTTGACCATTAAAGACAATGAGAATAAATCTCAAATACACCACGGGAGGTGGTATCCTTGGCATTTTTTTTTTCCCTGAGGGAGAGCATGTTCCTAGGTTCCAGGTTCTCTTTGCCTCCCTACCCACGAACACATGCATGTGAAAGAAACAGACAAGATTGACATTTAATCCCAATGTCTATTTATGAAAATTATCTTTAGGCCATTTTCTCAAGTTTTTCTCTTTCCAAAGTAAAATTGGGCAAATCAGATGAAAAACGAGGGTGGAGTTCAACCCCATCCTCAAATCCTTTTTTTTTTTTGGCTTGAGTGTCTGTCATTCCCAAGAGCCCTCCAACTGCCTTGAAGCAAGGCATGGGGGATTTCTCCGTGGTGCTTCCTGCCACTACTTGGCCAGACCAGTCTCCAGGGGTTTCAGAGAGTGGAGAGGCCCCAAACCTATAGAGACTACTCCCAGATGGGGGGCTCCTTGTTTCTCCAGACCCTTCCTCTTCCATTTCATATGAGGCTTCCAAGAGGCCCCTGGCCGTGCTGGTCTGGGGCAGGGAATAAAGAAATGGCTTTTATTGTATCAGAGTCTCAACAGAAAACAGATGGCATACTCGAAATAGGACATTTCAAGGAAAGTTTATTTATTAGCAAAGTATTTACAAAGAACTGGGTGGAGGATAGCTGTTACTACCCCAAGGTCCAAAGAGGCCAGGGACAGAAGGGGTTATCAGGACTCAGAAGGACAGCAAGCCCTGTACAGTCACCACCTTGCCAAGGGCAGTGCCCTTCAGTCAAGGGACACAACAGCTTAAGGTGACCTTGTAGGGAGGAAGCCAAGGGATTAGAAACACTGACCTCACTCCCCTCTTCCCTCTGCTCTTAGGCTGATGCTGGAAGCAAGAAGAAGCCAGGGAGCATGGGAGCCATTCAATGTCATGCAGGTCAGCACCTGAGGCAGACCCCAGGTGCAGAAGTATTGAGAGTGGGTCCAGAAGGACAGATGGAGGACAGGAAGTACATTCACAACAAGAAGGAAAAACGTCAATGTTGTGGGGTGGAGAGAGAGGTGCAAAATCTGGGCTTCTTTTGGCCTTGGACAATGACAAGCGCATAGTAGCAACAGAAACTAAGTTTGTAGTTTCCTACTGGGGAGTTTGGGAGGACACTCACTTCTAGTTCTGTCTTCCCCACTTGAATTTTGATTGTGGTTATACTGAATTTATAGAAATTTGGGGTTAACTGACTTGTTTTTATTACTAAATCATACCATGCAAAAACAGGATGTTTTCTCATTTATTGAAATCATTTTGTTTGCTCTTTATTATGGTTTTTAAACTTTACTTTTTCATAGTAGTCCTGAGTATGCTCAGTTAATTCTTAGGCATGTTGTAGCTTTTGCTGCTATTGTGATTGGTATCTTATTGCAATTCTACTTTTGAATCAGTAATTTCTGATGTAGAAGAATGTATCTAATTTAAAAAATTGTGGTTAAAAAAATAACATTTACCGTCTTAACCACTTTGAAGTGTACAGCTCAGCAGTGTTAAGTATATTCACATTTTTGTGCAACCAATCTCCAGAACTCCTTTTCACCTTGCAAAACCAGAACTCTACACCCATTAAACAACAACTCCTCATTTCTCTCTTCCTCTAGCCCCTGGCTACTATCACTCTACATTCTGTTTCTATGAATCTGACTACTTCAGATACCCTGTACAAGTGCAATCATGGAGTTTTTGTCTTTTGGCGATTGGCTTATTTCACTTAGCTTAATGTCCTTAAAATTCATACTTGTTGCAGCATGTAAGAGTGCTTTCTTCCTTTTTAGGCTGAATAATAAGCTACTGTATGTATATGCCATATTTTGTTTGCCCATTCATCTGTCTATGGACATCTTTGTTGCTTCCACCTCTTGGCTATCGAGAATAGTGCTGCTATGAATATGGGGGAAAATATCTGCTTAAGTCCCTGCTTTCAATTCTTTTGCATTTATACCCAGAAGTGGACTCTTGGGTCATATAGTAGTTTTACTACTGATTTTTTGAGGAACTGCCGTACTGTTTCCCATAGCAGTTACACATTTTACAATCCCACGAACATTGCATATAAAGGTTCTAATGTCTCTACATCCTCACCAACACTTATTTCTTCCCTCCCTCTCTCCCTTCCTTCCTTCCTTCCTTCTTTCCTTTCCTCCTTCATTTGCTCCCTCCTTCATTCCCTCCCTTCTTTCCTTTTTCCTTTCATTTTTATAGTAGCCATGCTAATGAGAATTAGATGATGTTATGGTTTTAATTTGCACTTCTCTAATAATAAGTAATGCTGAGCATCTTTTCATATGTGTGTTTGCCACTTGTATATCATCTTTGGAAAAATGTCTGTTGAAGTTTGTTGCCCCCTTTTTAACTGTTTGTATAAACAATTATTGTTGGGTTTTATGAGTTCTTTACATATTCTGAATATTAACCCTTTATTGGATATATGATATTCAAATACTGATATATGATTTTCAAATATTAGAAATTAATAATTTTTGTAAGTTGATCTTATATGGGACAACCTTGCTCGATCCTCTTATTGGTTTTAGTGGGGTTTTTGTTGTTGTTGTTGTCATTGTTGTTATTGATATTCTCTCTGTCTCTCTCTTTTTCCAGGTAGATAATAGTATCATCTGCGAGCATTGTTTTGTGTTTTCCCTCTTAATCCTTAGTGTTTTATTTTTCATGTTGTTGACTAGGATCTTCAATGCTGTGTCAAACAGTAGGGTGATAATGAGCATTACTCTTAAAGGAAATAAACCTAAATATTCTCCATTAAGTATAAATTTTGCTGTATATTGTAGATTCACATGCAGTGGTAAGAAATAATAAAAACAATCCTGTGTATCCTTTACCCAGTTTCCCTTGATGGTAACATTTTGCAAAACTATGGTACAATATCACAATTAGGATACATGGATACAGCCACAATACAGAACACTTCTATGATCACAAGGATTCTTCACCTTGCCCTTTTCTAGACACACCCACTTCCCTACCATCCCATACCCTCCTTAATGTCTAGCAATCACTAATCTCTTATCCATTTCTATGACTTTGTCACTTCAAGACAAATTTTTTTTTGTCATTTTAAAACAAATGATTAATAAATGGAAACATATAGTATATACACTTTTGGGATTGACTTTTTTTTCTCTCAATGTATTTCTCTGGAGATCATACAAGGTTGTTGCATATATCAATAATTTATTATTGCCTAGTTGTATTATATGGTATGGGTATAGCACAGTTAGTTTAGCCATCTGTCCATCACATCTGGGTTGTTTCCAGATTTGGCTGATATGAATATAAGTTTTTGTGTGGACATAAGTCTTAATGTCTCTGGAGCAAATGCCCAGGAGTGTACCTGCTGAATTGTATGGTGGTTGCATTTTTAGTTTTTTAAATAAACTGTCAAAGTGTTTTCCAGAGTGGTTGCACCAGCAATGTGCGAGTGATTGTTTTACTGCATCCTCACAGGCATTTGGTATTGTCACTATTTTTTTTATTTTTTTTGAGATGGAGTCTTGCACTGTTGCCCAGGCTGGAGTGCAGTGGTGCGATCTTGGCTCACTGCAAGCTCCACCTCCCGGGTTCGCGCCATTCTCCTGCCTCAGCCTCCCAAGTAGCTGGGACTACAGGCGCCCGCCACCACGCCCGGCTAATTTTTTGTATTTTTAGTAGAGATGGGGTTTCACCATGTTAGCCAGGATGGTCTCAATCTCCTGTCCTCATGATCCGCCTGCCTCAGCCTCCCAAAGTTCTGGGATTACAGGCATGAGCCACTGCGCCTGGCTTATTGTCACTATTTTTTATTTCAGCCATTCTAATATGTGTGTAGTGAGATCTTATTGTGGTTTTAATTTGCGTTTCCTTAATGGCTAATGATATCGAACATCTTTTCATGTGCTTATTTGCCATCTGTATATCCTTTTAATGAAATGTCTCTTCATGAATTTTTCCCATTTTCTAATTAATTTTTTTCAAACTGTTGATTTTTTTTCTTTTTTTTTCTGAGATGGAGTCTTACTCTGTCACTCAGGCTAGAGTGCAGTGGCATGACCTCGGCTCACCCCAACCTCTACCTCCTGGGATTACAGGCGTGTGCCACAACGCCCAGCTAATTTTTAGTATTTTTAGTAGAGACAGAGTTTCACCATGTTGGCTAGGCTGGTCTCAAACTCCTGACCTCAAGTCATCCACTCGCCTCAGCCTCCCAAAGTGCTGGGATTACAGGCATGAGCCAGGGGGCCTGGCCTGAGTTTTGATAAGTTGTTATATATTCTAGATACTAGTCCTTTGTTGGATACATGATTTGCAAATATTTTCTTCCATTATGTAGCTTGCCTTTTCATTCCTTTACAAGTCTTTCACAGAGCAACAGTTTTTAGTTTTAATCAGGTCTAATATATCCATTTTTTCATTTTACAGATCATGTTTTTGGTGTCAAATCTAAGAACTTGTTGCCCAGATCTAGATTCAGAAGATTTTCCCCTATCTTATTCTAAAAGTTTTATAGTTTTACATTTTGCATAGAAGTTTGTAATCCATATTGAGTCAATTTTTGCAGAAGGTATGAGTCTTAGATTAAACTGCTGCTCCTCCTTCTTTTCCTCCTTGTTGTCTTTCTCTCCTCCTATGGCCCTTGAATGTTCAATTGTTCCAGCACCATTTATGTTTTTCCGATGTCTGCAGGGTGTGTAGGGATATTCCCTGTGGACATTTCTATATTCTTTCTTTCTTCTTTGTCAGTGTAGTCTGCTAGAGGTTCATCAGTTGACTGATCTTTTCAAAGAAGCAACTTTTTGTGTCTCACTCTGTGGCCCAGGCTGGAGTGCAGTGGTGCAATCTCACCTCACTACAACCTCCGCCTCCTGGGCTCAAGTGATTCTCCTGCCTCAACCTTCCAGGTAGCTGGGACTACAAGCGCCTGCCACCACATTTGGCTAATTTTTTGTAATTTTAGTAGAAGCAGAGATTCACCATGTTGGGCAGGCTGGTCTCTAACTCCTGAGCTCAAGTGATCCACCTGCCTTGGCCTCCCAAACTATTGGGATTACAGGCGTGAGCCACAGTGCTCGGCCTTCCTTTCTTCTTTGGATGTATTTTGATCTTCTTTTTCTGGGCTCTTGAGATGAGAGTTTGAATTATTAATTTGTGTACTTTTTTTTTTTTTTAAAGAGACAAGGTCTCCTTATGTTGCCCAGGCTGGCCTCGAACTACTGGGCTCAAGTGATCCTTTCCTGCCTCAGCCTCCCAAGTAGCACCCAGTTTTTCTTCTTTTTAATGTATGCATTTAATGCTATAAATTTCCCTTTCAGCACTGGTTTAGCTGTGTCCTATAATTTTTTTTATTATTTTGAAAATATTTCGTGGGTTCATGGTAGGTGTATATGTTTATGGGGTACATGAGATGTTTTGATACACGCCTGGAATGTGAAATAACCAAATCATGGAGAATGGGGTAGCCATTCCCTCAAGCATTTATCCTTTGAGTTACAAACAATTCAATTACATTCTTTAAGTAACTTAAAAATATACAATTAAGTTATTTTTGACTATAGTCACTCTATTGTGCTATCAAATAGTAGGTCATATTCATTCTTTCTACTTTTTTTGTACCCATTAACCATCCCCACCTCCCCGCTCAGCTATCCACTACTTTTCTCAGGCTCTGGTAACCATCCTTCTACTCACTATGTCCATTAGTTCAATTGTTTTGATTTTTAGATCCCACAAATAAATGAGAACATGTCATGTTTGTCTTTCTGTACCTGGCTTATTTCACTTAACATAATGATCTCCAGTTCCATCTATGTTGTTGCAAATAACTGGATATCATTCTTTTTTCTAGCTAAATAGTACTCCATTGTATGTATGTACCACATTTTCTTTATCCATTCATCTGTCGATAGACACTTAGGTTGCTCCGAAGTCTTAGCTATTGTAAACAATGCTGCAATTAACATAGGAGTGCAGATATCTCTTTGAAATACTAATTTTCTTTCTTTCGGGTATATTCCCAGCAGTGGGATTGCTGGATCATATGGTAGCTCAATTTTAATTTTTTTGGAGGAACTTCCAAGCTGTTCTCCATGGTGGTTGTACTAATTTATATTCCTGCCAACAGTGTACAAAGCCTTCTCCACATACTCACCAGTACTTGTTATTGCCTGTCTTTTGGATACAAGCCATTTTTTTTTGAGATGGAGTCTTACTCAGTTGCCCAGGCTGGAGTGCAGTGGCCCAATCTCTGCTCACTGCAACCTCCATCTCCCAGGGTCAAGCGATTCTTCTGCCTCAGCCTCCCAAGTAGTTGGGACTACAGGCATGGCCCACCATGCCCAGCTAATTTTTGTATTTTTAGTAGAGACAGGGTTTCACCATATTGGCCAGGCTGGTCTTGAACTCCTGACCTCAGGTGATCTGCCCGCCTCGGCCTCCCTCAGTGCTGGGATTACAGGTGTGAGCCACCGTGTCCAGCCTGCATACAAGCTATTTTAACTGAAGTGAGATAATATCTCATTGAACTTCTGATTTGCATTTCTCTGATGATTCATAATGTTGAGCACCTTTCATAAGCCTGATTGCCATTTGTATGTCTTCTTTTGAGAAATGTCTATTCAGATCAGCTCATTTTTTGTTTGGACTATTGAACTCTTTTTTCCTATAGAGTTGTCTGAACTCCTTATATATTCTAGTTATTAATCCTTTGTTAGAGGGGTAGTTTGCAAATATCTTCTCTCATTCTGTGG
This sequence comes from Homo sapiens, assembly GCF_000001405.40. Classification (NCBI taxonomy): domain Eukaryota; kingdom Metazoa; phylum Chordata; class Mammalia; order Primates; family Hominidae; genus Homo; species Homo sapiens. The sequence continues at coordinate 4,230,277 of NT_167244.2, read as the reverse complement.
GTTGTCTCTCCTAGAAATTTTTGATATGTTGTATTCTTATTTTCTTTCAATTCAGTGTATTTTTAAATTTCCTTTGAGATTTATTTTTTGACTCGTAGAGTATTTAAAAGTTTTCGCTTAGTTTCTTGACTTTCCTCTGTCATCTTTCTGTTATTTATTTCTAGTTTGATTCCAATGTAGTCAGAGAACACATTCTGTATAATTTATATTCTTTTAAATTTATCAATATTTGTTTTATGGCCCTGGATATAGTCCAACTTGGTATATGTTGCATGGACACTTCAAAAGAATGTATATTCTGTGCGGCCAACAAGCATGTGAAAAAAATGCTCAGTATAACTAATCATTAGGGAAATGCAAATCAAAACAATGATGAGACACCATCTCACCCCAGTCAGAATGGCTATTGTTAAAAAGTCAAAAACAACAGGTGCTAACAAGGTTGTGGAGAAAAAGGAACACTTGTACACTATTGGGGGTAATGTAAATTAGTTCAGGCACTGTGGAAAGCAGTCTGGAGATTTCTCAAAGAACTTAAAGCAAAATTCCCATACAACCCAGCAATTCCATTGTTGGGTATATACCTAAAAGAATATAAATTGTTCTGTCATAAAGACACATGCACATGCATGTTCATCACACTGCTATTCACGTTAGCAAAGACATGGAATGAACCTAGATTTCTTTATCCAGTGCTCATCAACAGTGCACTGGATAAAGAAGATGTGGTACATATACACCATGAAATACTACACAGCTATAAAAAATGGGATCATGGCCTTTGCAGCAACATAGATGGAACTGGAGGCCATAATCCTAAACAAATTACCGCAGGAGCAAAAAACCAGCTAATTGCATACACATGGACACAAAGATGGGAAAAATAGACACTGGGGCCTATTTGAGGGTGGAGGGTGGGAGGACAGTGATGATTGAAAAAGCACCTATCGGGTATTATGCTGATGATTTTTCCTCTGCTGTCTTTCCGTTATTGATTTCTAATTTGATTCCATTGTAGTCAGAGAAAAGTTTGTATAATTTAAATTCTTTTAAAATTATCTGTACACCAAACCCTTGTGACACGCAATTTACCCATGTAACAAACCTGCATATGTACCCCTTGCACCTAGTAAAACCGGAAAAGAAAAACAACAAAAAAGAGCCAATGTGTATTCTGCTATTGATGGGTGGAGTGTCCTGTAAATGTGGATTTGATCCTGTTGGTTGATGGTGTTATTGAGCTCTTCTACATCTTTGCTGATTTTCTTTCTAGTTTTTATTTTTTTATTTTTATTTTTTTTGAGACAGAGTCTTGCTCTGTCCCCCAGGCTGCTGGAGTGCAGTGGCAGGATCTCAGCTCACTGAAAGCTCCATCCCCAGGTTCACGCCATTCTCCTGCCTCAGCCTCCCGAGTATCTGGGACTACAGGCGCCCGCCACCACGCCCAGCTAATTTTTTGTATTTTTAGTAGAGTCGGGGTTTCACCGTGTTAGCCAGGATGGTCTCGATCTCCTGACCTCGTGATCCACCCCCCTCGGCCTCCCAAAGTGCTGGGATTACAGGCCTGAGCCACCACTCCCTGCCTTCTTTCTAGTTTTATTAATAGTTGTGAGAGTTGTGTTGATGTCTCCAATTATAATTGTGGATTTTCTATTTTTTCTTTCAGTTCCGTCAGTTTTTGCTTCACATATTTTACAGCTCTGGTGTTTTGGGCATAAACATTTCTGACTGCAATGTCTTCTTGATAGACTGACCCTTCTATTATTATAAAACGTCCTTATCTTTCTCTGGTAATTTTTTTTGTTTTGGCTCTGAAGTTTACCTTATCTGAGAGTAGTACACTCACTCCTGTATTCCTCTAATTAAGGAAAACATGTTGTGTCTTTTTCCATCCTTTTACTTTTAACCTGCCTATGTTGTTATATTTGTGTGGTTTTATTGTTGTTTTTGTTTGTTTTGTGTTTTTTTTGAGACAAAGTCTCATCTTGTCACCTAGGCTGGAGTGCAGCGGCACAATCTCTGCTCACGGCAACCTCTGTCTTCCAGGGTCAAGCGATTCTCCTGCCTCAGCCTCCTGAGTAGCTGGGACCACAGGTGCACACCACCATGCCTGGCTAATTTTTGTATTTTAGTAGAGACGGGGTTTCACCATGTAGGCCAGGCTGGTCTCGAACTCCTGACCTACCTCAAATTATCCACCTGGCTTAGCCTCCCAAAGTGCTGAGAGCCACTGAGCCTGGCCTATATTGTTATATTTGAACTGGGTTTTTTTTTGTTTTTGTTTTTGTTTTTTGTTTGTTTTTTTTTGTAGAGTGCTGGGTTTACAGGTGTAAGCCACCATGCCTGGCCTGAACTGGGTTTCTTAATTGAGGTATTTAGATCATTTGCATTTAGTGTAATTTTTTTTCTTAATTTTTATGTTTAATTATTATGGGTACACAACCGTTGTATATATTAGTGAGGTACATGTGATGTTAGTTACAGGCATACAATGTGCAATGACCAAATCAGAGTAATTGGGGCATCTACCACCTCAAGAATTTATCATTTCTTTGTATTAGGAATAATGTAATTATTGATATATGTATTAGCTTGGGGTGCCATAACAAAATAAAACTAGGTGGCTTAAACAACAGAAATATATTCTCTCACAGTTCTGGAGGTTGGAAGTCTGAGATCAAGGCGCCAGCATGGTCAGCTTCTGGTAAGGGCTCTTCCTGGCTTATAGAGAGAGTTGCCATCTTCTGGGGGCAGAGTGAGAGAGAAAGAGAGAGGAAGGCTGGGAGGGAGAAAGAGCAAGAGAGCATACCCTGGTTTCTCTTCCTATTGAATTAATCCTATTGAATCATGGCCCTACCCTTATGAATTCATTTAACCTGAATTACTTCTGTAAAAGGCCCTATCTCCAAATATAGTCCCATTGGTGGTTAGGGCTTCAACATGGGATTCTGTGGGACACAATCCAACCTGTAGTAACATGAAGGGCTTAATTGTTTTTCATTTATTTTGTTTGTTCTCTCCAGTTTTCATCTCTGTTTACTCTTTTCTGACTTTCTGTGGCTTACTTGGGCATTTTTTAGAACGCCAGTTTTATTTATCTACAGTGTTTTTGAGTGTATTGATGCATAACTTTTAAGTGGTTGCTTTAAGTATTACATATACATGTAACTTGTCACAGTCTGCTGGAGTCATCATTTACCATTTTGAGTAAATAATAAAAATCTTACCTTCCTAATTTATGTCCCATCCCTTTATCCTCCTCACTGAAAATACGATTGTCTTAAATGTTTCCTCTACATACATTTAGAACCACATCAGTGTTATAATTTTGGCTTCAACCATCAAACATACTTTAGAAAACTTAAGAGGAGAAGAAAAATTTATTGTATTTACCCATCTATTTGCTTACCTTGTTCTATCTTCTTCCTTGATGTTCCAAGGTTCCTATTTTATCATTTCCATTCTGTTTAGATAACTTCTTTTAGCCATTTTCATTATTTCTGGGCAGGTGTTCTCCCCCCGCCCCCATCTCCATTGACATCTTAGAGAGGGGGCCCCATTACTGGCTTGCAGAAATGAAATTCTTAGCTTCCTAATTGGTCTTCTTGGATACCACTGCAGAGTGATGTTGGAGCACCTTGTTACAGCTTCAAGAGGGTGAAAGTTTAGGTCTCCCACTTGGTCTTTCTGGTGTGAATGGCAGTAGAGTCACAGTTATTGCTATGGTATTTGCCTAGAACTGAACAGTTACTTTCTAAGGCTTGACAGGCTTGCCTGCCTCTGTCTTGGTCTTTTGGCTAGTGATATCAGGGCTTTTGTTGTAAGTGTTGTTGGGGCTTTTTCTGTTTGTTTGTTTGTTTGTGCCAGTTGGTCTTTCCAAATTGTCACTTTCTTCAGCTCCAAGCCCAGCATATATGTGGCAAAAAGAAAGCCCAGGGAACTCACTAGTATGTCATTCCTCAGATCCTGAGATTCTAGCTGTTCTGCCTTCTCATTTCCACCTTTTAGAGTCTTCTTATGTTTGTTTTATATATATATAATGTCCAGAGTTTTTAGTTGTACTTAGTGAGATGAATAGGAAAAAGTATGTCTACTCAATTTTTCCAGAAGTCTTTGCTGTCAACCTTTACTAAATTAGTAGGTTTCCTTTTATTCCTGGTTTTCTAAAAGTTTATTTTTTAAACATAAATGGTTTTTTACATTTAAAAAATAGTTTATCAGAATTGACTCATTTCATTGTATTTTCCTTCTTAATCTCCTAATATAGTGAATTATATTGAGAGATTTTTAAAATGTGAAACATCTTTGCATTCCTGGGATAAACCCTATTTGTTCATCCTATAGTTACACATTTACTGTTGGTGTTATTTAGTTAATATTTTACTTGGGTTGTTGTATTTACTTTTATAAAGCATGGACGTAAAACTTGCCTTTCTTGTATTTCCTTGTTTGTTTTTGTAATAAAAATTTCTCTAAACAATAACCTAGGCAGATTTTGTTCTTCATTCTGTTTCCTGGAATAATAAATAGAAATGTCTTTTCAAAGGGCAGCTTTTGTTTTTGTTCATCTATTTTATTGTTTTTAGTTCTCTATTTCATTTATGACTATCTTTACTATTTCCTTCCTCCTTTGGGTGTATTCTGTTCCTCTTTACCTAGCGTTTGAGTTGAACACTCAGCTTATTGATTTTGGTCTTTTTTTGTGTTTCCTAGTAAGTGTATTTAAAGGTAAAAAATTTCCTTCTAAGTTCTGCTTTAATCATATCTAACACATTTTGATATGCAGTGTTTTAATTTTTATTTAATTCTACATATTCTTTATATTTTTCTTTTAACTCACAGGTTACTTGTGACATTTAAAAACTTTTTATTTTGAAGTAATTTTAGAAGAGTAGTACAAAGAATTCTTACGTACACTTGTCCAAATTCAATGATTTGCAACATTTTGTCATATTTGCTTTCTTTTTCTCTCTGTCTCTGCTTCCCTCTCTGTTTTTTTCCTAAAAAACATTAATATTCCTAAGTCCATTTTAGGGACTTACTCTAAAATGGTTATGAAAAAACATTAGAGAGAAAAAATGGTTTACTCTAAAATGGTTAGGAAGTCTGGAGTTACATACACACATGCCCCTTTCCTGCTAAATATTTCAATGTATTTCCTAAGAACAAGGCTGTTCTCTTACATAAACACAGAAAAACAGTCATATTAAGAAAATTTAACTTGGATATAATATTAGCTAATCCACAGTACATATTCAAATTTTACCAGTTTTCCCAATAAAGAACCTTATAACTCCAGCCACTCCCAGTCTCTTGTCCTGCAATCCAGAATCAAGCATTTCAGTAAGTTTTCATGTCTCTTTGGTCATTTTTAATGTGAGAGAGTCTATCAGTTTCTTATTTATTCAGGTTTTATTAATTAGCTTGAACTTATATAATTTTATTATTTTGCCCTTCAAGAACTCTGCTTTTTTTTTTTTTTCTTTTTGGTCTAGTTTATCTACCAGTTTTTGAGAGAGGGTTTGTAAAAATCATCAAATGTATTTTTAAAAAACTCAACTTCTAACTGTAGTTCTTTCACTTGTTGCTTTATAAATTGTGAGGCTGTATTGTTGAGTTTATATATATTTATGATTACTATATCTTCTTGTTTCTTTAAAAGTTATATGAACATCTTTTCTTTTGTCCTTTATGCACTTTATTTTTTTTATTTTTATTTTTTTTTGAGATGGAGTTTCGTTCTTATTGCCCAGGCTGGAGTGCAGTGGCACAGTCTTGGCTCACTGCAACCTCCATCTCCCAGGTTCAAGCGATTCTTCTGCCTCAGCCTCCCGAGTAGCTGGGATTACAGGTGCGTGCCACCATGACCGGCTAATCTTTTTGTATTTTTAGTAGAGATGGCGTTTCACCATGTTAGCCAGGCTGATCTCGAACTCCTGACCTCAGGTAATCCGTCCTCCTCAGCCTCCCGAAATGCTGGGATTACAGGCATGAACCACTGCACCTGGCCCAAAATAGAATTTAAGGTTAAAAATAAAGTGCAGGCTGGACGTCGTGGCTCACGCTTGTAATCTTAGCACTTTGGGAGGCTGAGGCAGGTGGATCACCTGAGGTCAGGAGTTCAAGACCAGCCTAACCAACATGATGAAACCCCAACTCTACTAAAAATACAAAAGTAGCCGAGCATGGTGGCACATGCCTGTAATCCCAGCTACTCGGGAGGCTGAGTAGGGAGAATCGGTTGAATCCAGGAGGCAGAGGCTGCAGTGTACCGGGATCGCACCATTGCACTCCAGCCTGGGCAACAAGAGTGAAACTCTGTCTCAAAAATAAATAAATAAATAAATAAATAAATAAATAAATAAAGTGCATAGGCCGGGCACGGTAGCTCATGCCTGTAATCCTAGCACTTTGGGAGGCTGAGGCGGGTATATCACCTGAGGTCAGAAGTTCAAGACCAGCCTGGCTAGCATGGTGAAACCCTGTTTCTACTAAAAATACAAAAAATTAGCTGGGCATGGTGGCACACCTGTAATCCCAGCTACTCGGGAGGCTGAGACAGGCGAATCACTTGAACCCAGGAGGCAGAGGTTGCAGTGAGCCGAGATTGTGCCATTGCACTCCAGCCTGGGAGACAGAGGAAGACTCTGTCCCCCTCCCAAAAAAAAATCAATTCTATTTTGTTACATATTGAGACTGTTGCCCAACTTTCTTTTGTGTCATATTTGCCACCAGGTAAATCTTTTTTCCCTGTTTTTAAATTTCAATCTTTACATATCTTTCTGCTTTAAGAGGATTTGCCATATGCATTCATATTAAAAACTTTCAATAAACTAGGTATTGAAGGAATATACCTCAAAAATAATAAGAGCCATATATGACAAACCCACAGCCAACATCTTGCTGAATGAGCAAAAGGTGGAAGCATTCCCCTTAAAAACCAGCACAAGACAAGGATGCCCTCTCTCACCACTCCTACTCAACATAGCGTTGGAAGTCCTGGCTGGGGCAATTGGGCAAAAGAAACAAATAAAGACGTCCAAATAGGAAGAGAGAAAGATAAACTATCCCTGTTTGTAGATGACATGATCCTATATCTAGAAAACCCCATTGTCTCAGCCCAAAAGCTTCTTAAGCTGATAAACAACTTCAGCAAAATATCAGAATACAAAATGAATGTGCAAAAATTACTAGTATTCCTATACACCAAACAACAGTCAAGCTGAGAGCCAAATCAGGAATGAACTCCCGTTCACAATTGTCACAAAAAAAATAAAATACCTAGGAATATAGCTAACTGGGGAGGTGAAAGATATCTACAAGGAGAACTACAAACCACCGTTCAAAGAAATCAGAGATGACACAAACAAATGGAAAAACATCTCATGCTCATGGATAAGAGGAATCAATATCATTAAAATGGCCATACTGCCCAAAACAATTTATAGATTCAATACTCTTCTTATTAAACTACCATTGAGATACTTCACAGAGCTAGAAAAACTATTATTATTATTATTTTTTTTTTGAGACGGAGTTTTTGCTCTTGTTGCCCAGGCTAGTGTGCAATGGTGCGATCTCGGCTTACCACAACCTCTGTCTCCCAGGTTCAAGCGATTCTCCTGCCTCAGTCTCCCGAGTAGCTGGGATATTACAGGCATGCGCCACCATGCCCAGCTAATTTTGTATTTTTAGTAGAGACATGGTTTCGCCATGTTGGCCAGGCTGGTCTCAAACTCCTGGCCTCAAGTGATTCCCCCTGCCTCGGCCTCCCAAAGTGGTGGGATTACAGGCCTGAGGCACCGTGCCCGGCCAGAGCTAGAAAAACTATTTAAAAATGCATGTGAAACAAAAAAGGGCCAGAATAGCCAAGGCAATCTGAAGCAAAAAGAACAACGTTAGCAGTATCACACTACCCAACTTCAAACTATACAGGGCTATAGTAACCAAAACAACATGGCACTGGTACAAGAACAGACACATAGACCAATGGAACAGAATAAAGAACACAGAAATAAAACTACACCTATGACTGTCTGATCTTCAACAAATCTGACAAAAACAAGCAATGGGGAAAGTATTTTCTATTCAATAAATGGTGCTGGGAAAACTGGGTAGCCATATGCAGAAGATTGAAACTGCATCCCTTCCTTACACCATCCACCTTAACTCAAGATGGATTAAAGACTTAAATATAAAACTCAAAATTATAAAAATCCTGGAAGACAACCTAGGCAATACCATTCAGGATATACTGGCAAAGATTTCATGACAAAGATGCCAAAAACAATTGCAACAAAAGCAAAACTGACCAACAGGATCTAGTTAAACTAAAGAGCTTCTGCACTAAAAAGGAAACTATCAACAGAGTGGACAGACAACCTACAGAATGGGAGAAAATTTTGCAAACTATGCATCCAACAAAGGTATAATATCCAGCATCTATAAGGACCTTAAATAAATTTACAAGAAAAAAAAACCATTAAAAAGTGGGCAAAGGACATGAACACTTTTCAGAAGAAGACATACATGCAGCCAACACGTATATGAAAAAAAGCTCAACATCACTGATCATTAGAGAAATGAAAGTCAAAACCACAATGAGATACCATCTCACATCAGTCAGAATGGCTACTATTACAAAGTCAAAAAATAACAGATGCTGGCTAGGTTATGGAGAAAAATGAACGTTTTTACACCGTTGGTGGGAGTGTAAATTAGTTCAACCATTGTGGAAGACAGTGTGGCAATTCCTCAAAGACCCAAAGACAGAAATACCATTTGACCCAGCAATCCCATTACTGGGAACATACACAAAGGAATATAAATCATTCTATTATAAAGACACATGAACACATATGTTCACTGTAGCACTATTCACAATATCAAAGACTTGGAATCAACCTAAATGCCCACTAATGATAGACTGGATAAAGAAAACGTGATACACATACACCATGGAATACTATGCAGATATAAATAAGAATGAGATCATGTCCTCTGCAGGGACATGGATGGAGCTGGAGGCCATTATCCTTGGCAAAATAATGTAGGAAGAGAAAATCAAATGCCAGATGTTTTGACTTATAAGTGGGAGGTAAATTGTGAAAACACATGGACACACAGAGGGGAACTGCACACATGGGCCTATTGGAGGGTGGAGGTGGGAGGAGGGAGAGGATCAGGAAAAATAACTAATGTATACTAGGCTTAATACCTGGGTAATGAAATAATCTGTACAACAAACCTCCCTGACACAAGTTTACCTATGAAACAAACCTGCACATTTACCCCTGAACTTAAAAGTTAAAAAAGAGTATTTGTTATAAATCACACATGATTTGGTTCCCTTTTTCCTCCATTATTAGAGCCTTTGTTCTTTTATTGGTAACTGCTGAAGTAAAGATTTACTTTTGCAACTCATTTCACATTCTGTTTTTATTGTACAATGTTTCTTCCCTTTTCTTGCTTTCCATTTGATAGACTGATTTTTTTCTGCTGTATTAAAAGTTATACATACTGATTCTGTTCTTATGGTGGTTGCCTTTAATTTAACACAGTGAGCATTTACCTTTTAAAATGTCTTAACTACCTTAATATTTATATCTTGCCTCCTAAGTTCTTTAGCATACTCTTATGTTCTTTTGATTTTCTACTTCCCTCCCTCTAATGCCAATTCTCCTACCAAGTAGATATTACACACACACACATTCATTTACCCTCTTTTAAAAATATGGTCCTGGATTTGTTGACAAATCACCCTTATATTTGTTGTTGTAAATTTCTTGATTTGATTCTCTTTTTGTGTACTTCCTCTAAGAGTGTTTTTTTTTTTTTTTTTTTCCACGTCCAAGAGTGTTTTAAATATGAGCCTTTGGATTCTTTGCATGATAATAAATTTGTTATGCCATCTCACTTGAATAGCAATTTTGATACATATAAAGTTCTAAACTCCAGTTTATTTTCCTTCACTACTATAAAAATATTATTTTATTTTATTCTTGCATTCATTGCTGTTGAAAAGTCTGACATCAATCTGATCTTACTCCTTTGTAAACTGTTCTTTTTTTTTTTTTTTTTTCTGATAGGGTATCACTCTGTCACCCACTGGAACCTCCACCTCCCGGGTTTGCCTCAGCCTCCCGAGTAGCTGGGACTACAGGCACACGCCACCAGGCGGGGCTAATTTTTGTATTTTTAGTAGACACAGGGTTTCACCATATTGGCCAGGCTGGTCTCGAACTCCTGTCCGCAAGTGATCCACCCGCCTCTACCTCCCAAAGTCCCAAAGTGCTGGGATTATAGGCGTGAGCCACTGTGCCCAGTTGATAAACTCTTCTTTCTAAGTTTTAAAAATATTTATTTGTCTCAATATAACGAGCATAGGTGTGGATTTTTCTGAAGCTCCTGTTAAGTATCCTTTGAACCCTTTTCTCTGAGGTCTTTCATAATTAAAAAAAAATTGTAAATTTATTAGTCATTATTTTCTCACGTATATATTTTTTTCCTCTCACTGTGAGTTCTCTTATGATTCAGATGTTGATACTTCTATTTCTAGCATACATTTTGCTGAACTTTCTTTTATATTTTTGATGTCTTTATTCTTTCCTACTGTCTTCTGGGATTATCTTTCATCTTATCTTTTACCTCACAAATTATTCTTCAGCTATATTTATCCTGGTACTTGTCTAATCTATAGTATTTACAACTTCTACTGTTATAGTTTTAACATCTAATATTCTGTCTTTGTTTTTGTGAGTTACTGGTTTTGCTTTATGTTGCTGGTATCTTCTATTATCTTAAGTATATTTGCCATTTTGTTTCAAGTTCTTGGTTCATCTTCTTCACAATTCTGCATTAGATAGTATATGGTGTTAATTTGTTGTCTATGTTTTGCAATTTTTTTGTTCCTTAGCCATATCATTATGTTGATCTGTGAGCTCACGTCTCCAGGAGGGCACCAGCTAGTCTGTGGGGTAATGTGTAATGGGGAAGAGATAAAGTCAAATACTGGTCTGTGTCCCTCCAGATCCAGCCCTGGTAGAGAGCCCAGAAACACTGTGGATCTCCCCATTTGCCACTACTCTTTCAGGCAACTCCTAGGAAAAGCACAGTTGGGAGTAGGCAGGTGCTCCACGTTGGGATTCACCAGCGCTGGGAGTTGGGGCAGTGGTCGTGAGTAGTGGAGAAGAGAATACCCAAAAGCTCACCCCTAGTTTCATCTGTTCCCTACTGATTTACCTTGAAGATACAAGTAGCCTGGCCTGTTGCAGCCTGTTTATGTATGAAGGGGAGGCAACAATTGTCCCAAGCCGATTGGGAAGGACATAGTGCAGAAATTAAAAAGTCTTCCTGCAGCCTGTTCTCCCACTGTGGCTTATCTCCCAGGATGCAGCCCTGCCCATTCTCTACGCACACCAGCTCAAGACAGCAGTTCTGTCTCTCCTGGCAAATATAAAAACACTTTATACTTATTTCTGGTGTTGCCAGCTCCCCAGATCCTTGCTTCCTTTTGCTTCTCTACCTTTACAAAAATTAATTTTGGGTGAGGGAGCTGGAAGCCTGAACCTACCTATTTGCCATTTCACAGGAACTGGAAGCTTTATTTCTGGTCCTCAAAGGGCAAAGTGACAAGCGACATTCAATAGCTCATGGCCTGAGGCTTCCTGATGCCCAGGGTCTTACACTCGTAGCCAGGACTGATGTGTCGTCATAGCCATTCCAAGGGTCTCTTTTCAAGGTGTCCAATGGGGTGGCAAGCAGGGATTCTGATTCATCTATGCTCCAGGGACAGGAGAGAAAGGAACTTGGAGATTCATGAGGTAGGCATGAAGCTTGGATAGTGGGAGGGGAGGAAGATAGATGTGTGTTGAGCATTTATTGTGCACTCTATTGAGCCCTTGCTGGGTACACCTTGAGGGCTAATTTACTTCACAGAATCCAGGAGGAATGCCTTCAGGGGTACTTTCAGGAAAGTATCCATAGATTTTTAGGAGGCTGTGTGGTGAAGCTATGTTCATACTACTAGATAATATTTACCTTATAGGCTTCATGATGTATAAATCTGCCTTTCCTCTAATTTATAATAGAAGCATCCATATGATTTATGAATTCTTTCAGATTAGCTCTTTTAGGCCATCCTAGCTAAATACTGAGGGTGTTTAGTATCCTCAGGGTGCTTTGCTGCAGCTGTCCCCAGCTGGTCTCGTTTTTTCCTATTTTCTAATTGGTCTCTACCCCCATTCCTCCCTCAGTCTGTCTTGACAGATGGCAGATGCATCTTCCTATGTGGCAGTGCTTGGCACTAGGTTTGCAGCAAATGCTTGTTGGATTGATTTTCTTTAGATTTGAAGGTTAAAAAGAGAGTTTTTCTCTTTATAGGCACCCATCCCAATTTCTTCTCCTTGCAATGCTCAGTAGTTGCTACCAGGAAGGGCTGTCACCAGGTTGTGTCCTAACTGGAATGAGCTCTTGAGTGGGAGTAAGCAATGTTTGATGGTAGGTCAAAGGGTTAACAACAGTTTTAAGCTCTTTTTTCCCATGGGAAGATGAACTCCAGTTTACCTTATACTTACTGTTTCTTTGAAATGTACTGTTTGGATAAATGTGAAATGTCAGCTGTATTTTAAAAAATCACATTTATTTATTTATTTATTTATTTATAAGTGTGGAAATGACCCCTGGTTGGTGAACTACATCTATGCTGGGCAGACTGCGGGCAGGCATTTAGACTTGGTGGACCTATATGACCAGACCCGTATGAAAACCTGTTGGGAAATGTAGGCCCTGGACTCTGTTATGGTGTGTTTCTTGAATCCGAATATGCCTGTTTTCTTGGAATCCTCACTCATGGGTTGGTATAAGATGTGGTTCCTGTCATGTGAGAGATTCTTCCATCCTAGAATGGCTCCCCCGTGCCTCTCCCCTACTCCTGTGGTCTTGTCTACTATGACCATGCATATTCCCATGAGATGAGAGGGTTAAGAATCAGCATCTAGAATACATAAAGACTCCTGATGAAGATGTCTAATGCTGTCAGGCTGACAAGCTATGTTTCCATATCCAATATTCCTCTACAAAGCTAAATAAATAAGTTGCCGTATAACAGCCCACCAAGTCTTTTGAGTGTGTATGTTAATCTGAACCCAAGGCACAACTAATTTGTATGAAGTAAGCATTGTAGGATTTTTTTTCCTACAAAAATAACTTTCTCTTCATTGCTGAAATTCTGTTGTAAATAAACAAGTGGTAAGCAGAGGATCATAAAATGTTCCTTGCTCAAAGCCTTAAAATTCCCAAAACTCCAGCATTCAAATTTCTCTGGACAGAATTGGAACCAAAATGAAGTCACAGTTAATAATAAAACATTACATTTGTGTAATGCTTTGAATATTCTAAAGATTTTATTCTACTTTTCCTGTCTTCTCTTCTCTGACTGACTCAATATGGCTTCTCTTGTACCTGCAAAAAGATGACTTCAAAATCCATTTCTCCAATTTTGAACCCACTACAGTACTTGATATCCATGTATGCCACTATTTAGAAGCAAAGGAAATAAAATCATTGAAATGACACTTTGAAATAGACTTGGTAGGACCTGAAAACTCACTGAATCCAATCTTCTCACTCAGACAGTTGAGTGGACAGTGGTTTAATCCACTGAAAGAGGAAATACAAGGGAAGGACATGTTTGAGAGGTGTTTAGAGAATGATTGATAAAAGGTCTTAGAAGAGGTGAGTGTCCACTATTTTTGCACTGGAGTATCTACCCCTGCTCCAAGGTCCCTCATGTTCACATCTGTTGGGGATGATGGGAGGGCCAGAAGACAGCCCACCTCATGGAAATAAGAGTAGCCAGGCTACATGGAGTAGGTCGGGAAGCAAGGAGGCTCAGGACCAAGGAAAGGTTTATCGAATAAATATTATGAAATGCTCAGCTGGTATATGAAGAGCAGTGAGGGTTGGGGGTATCAGGATCACAATCCATATTCAGTTCCAAGATGTCTGGACCATTTCACAGTTGGGATATGGTCTTCCTCTAAGGAAGAACATGGGCTGTTTTTTTCATACTTCTGATCACAGTTGGCAAGAAGGAATGGTTGGAGTAATAGACTAGTAGTTGGGTTCTTAGATTTGTTTCTTTAATCAAATTCTCATGGCTAATGGCAAGATAGAATATGCTTATACAGGACATTTATCTGAAAGTTGTGTTACAGACAACATCCATTAGAATCATCCAGGGTACTTCATGAAAATGCAGATTTCTGAATAACCTCTAGAACTGCTGAATTAGGATCCCTGGGCTGGAGCCTGAGAATTTGCATTTAAGCCTACTTCTTAGCAATTCTTATGTACACTAAAATTTAAGAAGCATATGTAAGCTGGTTAATTATGAATTATTCTTATCAATGAAAAATTATACCAAATGAGAATTAAATGGGACAACTGGATATTTCATTGCTTTGAAGAAGCTGGTGACAACTTCATCTAAGACTTCCCAGTTGCTCTTTCAGTATTACTTCTAAATTTACTATTGCAGTTTATTTTTCATTAAATCTTCCTTCTACTGGTACAAAGAAAAATATCTTTGTCTTCCCTTTTAATTTTATTTATTTATTTTGTTTGAGACAGAGCCTCACTCTGTTTCCCAGGCTGGAGTGCAGTGGTGTGATCTCGGCTCACTGCAACCTCCACCTCCTGGGTTCAAGCGATTCTCCTGCCTCAGCCTCTCGAGTAGCTGGGACTACAGGCGCCTGCCACTATGCCTGGCTAATTTTTGTATTTTTAGTAGAGACGGGGTTTCACCATATTGGCCAGGCTGGTCCCAAACTCCTGACCTTGTGATCTGCCAGCCTCGGTCTCCCAAAGTGCTGGGATTACAGGCGTGAGCCACTGCGCCCGGCCAATTTTATTTTTTAATTAAACATTTCTGAGACATTTTGGCTTTAATGAAAATGTTTCCAAAGCATGTTCAAAGCGTAGTCCTTAGTTTGATGGTCTGAAGAATGGAATCATTTATTAGTGGAGTTCAATAAATATTTATTCGCATTTATACATACAAGGTCCTTTGGACAGAGTAAGAGACACAAGACACCACCACTCCCTGAAAGAGCACACAAAACAATTACATAGATAAGACCAACACACACATTTGAACTGTGGTATTGAAACTTAAAAAAAAAAAAAGCCTAAAGCCCTCTCAGTAAAAAAGAGTTGAGTACTTATCGACACTTACATGTTTATTTATACATTATCCCATGTACTAGCATATGGCTTGACTATATACACCAGAACTCACACTGTAACAAATAGAAAGTTTATAAGTTACCAAAATAAATAGAAACTTTAACACTTCCTTCCTGTATCCTCAAGGATCATTTGCACATTCCCTGTAGTGTGCACATTCCATTTTGTAAACCAGTGTTTTTAGAAAACAATGCCTACCTATATATAACCAAGCACTAAGTTCTGTGTTACAGATTAAAAAAACCATTTTAGAGTAAAGAGAAATAAGAGCAAACCCAGACTACTAGAACTGGTAAATGAAAGGAATAGCATTCAGAAAACAATGTATATTCAATAAATAGATAAAATAATAGGAAACATTTGCTTTGGGTTCATGTCAAAGCCTATTAAGAAGGAGACATAGACATAGGACAAAATGCATATGTAGAGGAAAAAGAAACAAAATATAGAAATGTAAACATTACTTCCTTCTGGCAAAATGTCTTCTAGCCTTTGGTGAGGTATTTCCAGACATTTATAGGCTACACTCTGCCAATGATTTTATTTAAGGATGACACAGTGAATGCTTATTTTTATGTCTACAAAAAAAGTTACAAAATTTAGTTATTCACACATTCATTCATCAGTGCCTCTTGATATTGGAAATGTTTCTCCCTATTGCTTTATGGATTGACTGTATTCCTGAAAAGCTTGAATTATATTTTAAAAACTCAGCCATAAGCTTTGTGGGAGACAGACTGTACCTGTCAAGTTCCCTCTTGTATCTCTGGCACCTCGCATAGCATCAGGCTCATAGTGAATATTCAAGAATGTCCTCTCGATGGTTGCAATATATTTGAAAATCTCAGCATTGAAAGGAATTCTGTGACAAACCACTTAAAAAAGTTAAAATGAATGAACATTCAGTAAATTCTGATTTTGATGAAACACAGTTGTTCATAAGTGGACAAAACTATCCTTTAAGTAAACCCATGGGGACATTTGAGTTGAATAATTTATAGAGACTTATAATCTGAAAGAGAGCGCAGACATAGTCTCATATTCTTTTACCACACAGATAAGGAAAAGCTGGAGCTCACAGAAACTTGAAAGAGCTTGCCCAAGGCCACATCACTATTTAGGAGCAGTTATTTTAATATGTAACAAATTACGTGTGATTAATCTTTTTCAGAAGGGGTTACTGCAGGTTTTCTTAAAGTAACAGTATTAGATAATATTTTATAAAACTTAAAAACTCTATAACATAATGCTTCATAATGTTTAAGAATTCATAAACATTTAGTAAAAATATTAAAAACATGCATAGCAATGATAAAACTGACTTCACATTGGTGGTTATATCTGGGGGCAGTGAAAAGAAAATGGAAGGATTCAGAGGTATCAATTTTATTGTAGTCACTGATTTATTAAAAAAACCATTGAAACAAATAGGACAAAATACTAAGATTTAATAAAGCTGGGTGTTTGGGTAATGGGGGTTTATTTGCCTTTCTGTGTGTTTAAAATACTTAACAATACAAATATTAAAACTAAAATTAGTAAGAGATTTGTAAACTAATAGGTTTTTTAAAATACCAAGCAGAGGAACAAAGTCAACTGTTATTTATCCAAAGAACCATTAACAGAAATAGGCTATATATATATATATATATATATATATATATATATATATATATGCTAAAGGGTTTAGTCAACAAAGTAGATATTCTATAATTAGCAGCATGAAGGAGTTAGAGTACATCTTATGTTGTTATAATTAATAGTAAATATTTGTAACATACAGAAAATACATGGAACAACAGTCATGCAACCACTACTCAAATACAGTTGTGCTGTTTGCACCTGACTTCAGGTCCACCTTTCTTTTCCCTCACCAGATGCAATTACTAGTTTAAAGTTAGTGCATATCATTTGTTATTATGTTGTGAGAATTGTCCTTGTGAAATATGGACATTTAGTTTATTTTAATGGTTGCACAATTTATTGTAGAAAGGCAACACAATTTTATTTACTTTTTTATGCACTGATGGGCATCCCCTGACTTTCCACCAATTATAAGCAAACCTGCAATGAACATCCTTATGCATACTTCTTTGTTTTTGTATTTGAGAATGTCTTCAGGTCTCTAGGGCATATAAACATAGAATTGCTTGTCTGTAGGATTCTTGTCTCTTTAAATTTGTACAACACTGCATATGTGAAATAAGTAGTTGAAATAAGTGGGAAAACTAACCCTTCCACCAAGATTCTATGCAAATTCCCATTTCTTCACATTTCTGCTTCAGCACGTGGTATTGTTAGGCTATCTACCTTGAGATAATAAAGTTATTCTACATTTCCCCCCCAAAGCTTTAAACCTTTACCTTTTCACATTTAGCCTTTTATTTCATTTAAAATTTATTTTTGTAATGGTGTGAGGTAGAGATCTGGTTTCATTTATTCCCCATGGTGATAGCCTATGTTCCTGCAATATTAACTGACTTATCCAACAGTTCTCAAAATGTGATCAGAGGATTCCTGGGGATGTTGGAAGGGAGAGATCCCTTGGATCCTTTTAGAGGGTCAACAAGGTCAAAAATATTCATAAAATTAAGATGTTATTTGCCTTTTTTTTACTCTCACTCTCATAAGTGTACAGAAGGGTTCGCCAAAGACAACAATGGCATGTGATGAATAGTGATGACTATTTCTCTGATACCTAACAGATTGTGTGCCTGTGTATTGTATTTTCTAGAGTTTTCAAAGGTAGTGAGTTTACGGTATAAGTATGTAGTTTTCAGAAATTATTTCTTTTCTACCATGCTCTTACCAGCTATCTTCAGTTATACCTGTTATAATCTCTGTAATCTCATTATCTTCCAAGAAATCATTTTTAAATCCTAAAGTTTTTCCTTTTACACAGAAACATAACAAAAATTATGTTTACTTTGTTGTTTTGCAATAATATATTTTTCAAAAATGTTTTTAATTAAAAAATTTTATCTGAATAGGGTGGATGGTTGGCTTTAAAAAGGGAGAAGAGAAAACACATTTTCTGGTGTCTAGATTGCCTATGTCTAGAGATGCTGAAAAGGATGACATTGACATATCAGCAAGTTATCTGATTCCTCATAAAAAGGAGAAATCTATTCCAAAGAAACTGAGCACAACTATACACAACAAAAATATGTTGAAAGTGATCTTTTGTTCAGCTTTATAGATGTTAATAATTTATCATATTGTGTCTTGTGCAGTAAAACATTTTCAAACACTTATATGGTTCCAACAAAGTTGCAGTATCATTTTGGGACCAATCATTCAGAATTTATTAAAAAAAGGAATTAAATAACCGAAATGTAGATGTAATACACTCTTTAAAAGCTTCTTACAGGATAAGCCATCATATTGTATTGGCTAGAGGAGCACACACAATCACAGAGAGACTAATAAAGGCTTGAACAGTTGACATTGCTGAATACCTGCTGGATGAAAAATCACCACAAGAATGCATAGTGCTGGCATTTTCCAATGATGCAATAACTTGTCAAATTAAAGATTTAACTGCAAACATAAAGACTGAGTTAATATATCATCTAAAGAATTGTACCTTAGCCTTACAAAGGGACTGATCTACAGATGGCTATACATCCTGTTTTGCTTTCATTCATCAGGTATCAGCATCAATTGACCATTGATGATCTTCTTTTATGTGAATTCTGGGCAACAGGGGTTCTGAAACATTAAAAGTGTTATATGACTTTTTTGAATCTGGTGGTTTATCCTCAACAACTGTGTTAACTGTGTTAACATTTGCACTGATGGTGCAAAAATGGTGGATTTTATCCAATGGTGGGTAAAATGACTGGTGTCTTAGCACGAATTAAGGCAATGGCACCAAATTTTATTAGTAGTCATTGTATTCTTCACCACCACACATTCGTAGTAAAAAAAAAACAGTTTTACTAAAATAATGTCCTTGATGAAGTTGTAAAAATTATTTTCTACTAAATCTCAACCCTTAAGCACATTTAAAAAAATTCTTTGTGACACAATGTGATGTACCCATAAAACACTTCTACTGCATGCTGAAATATAGTTGTCTTTTGGAAAAACACTTGTTTGAGTTGCAAGCTGAATTAGCCACTTTTTCTTTTCTTTCATGGAAACACCATCTTTTCACTTGGAAAAAAAAAGTGACAGAAAATTGATTATTCAGACTTGGGAATTTGGCAGACATTTTCTTGAAAATAAACAGTGATACTATCACTTTAGGGAAAACAACTAGTTGTATTTGTTGCCAGTGCTAAAATTTAAGCTTTTAAAAGTAGAAGTTGGAATTTTGAAAAGCTTGTATCTGCTACTGTGGGATACTTAGAATTTTTTCTGATATCAGCAGCAACATTAATGAATATAATATTTTTTTGAGACAGGGTCTTGCTCTGTTGTTAAGGCTGGATTGCAGTGGCATGAACAGGGCTCACTGAATGCAGCTCTCAACCTTATGGGCTCAAGTGATCCTCCTGCCTCAGCTTTCCAAGTAGCTGAGACCACAGATGTGCACTCCACTCTTGGCAAATTTAAAAAAATTTTGTAGAGATGGGGTCTTGCCATGTTGCCCAGGCTGGTCTTGAACTCCTGGGCTCAGACAGTACTCCTGCCTTGGTCTCCCAATGTGCTGGGATTACAGGCATAAGCCACTGCAGCCAGTTTGAGTTTTTGATATTGCATGAAATGTTTGAACATTTCGAATACCTCCATAATTCAGTAAACAGATATTTCCTAATGACCATATAATGTTACAGAATCTTACATGAGTAAAAATAATTTCAAAATGCGGATAGGCCAATAGATTTCAATGACTTCCTGTTGTTTATCCCCTGAACCAGAAGATTTACACTCACCCTAGATTCTTACCTTTCCCTCAACCCCTTCATTCTATTACTCAGTACTCAGTGTAAATTCCACCTCCCAGACAGCAGACAGCTCTTAAGTGTATGCTTTCCTGTTCATTACTATTTCTAATGCCCTCATTCAGAACTCTGGCAACTTACTTTATGATGTCAAATCTCTTACGTAGCATAAGAGGCCACTGCCCACCTCTCTTCTCTAGCTTCCCCCATTTCACTGTATTGTCTAGTAAGCTGATCTTATTATAGCTTTTTTTTTTTTTTTTAGACAGAGTCTCTCTGTCGCTCAGGCTGGAGTGCAGTGGTGTGATCTCTGCTCACTGTAATCTCCACCTCCCACCTTGAGCACTCCTCTCGCCTCAGCCTCCCAGGTAGCCGGGACCACAGGCGCACACCACTGAACAGGGATAATTTTTTTTGTTTTTGTAGAGACAGTGTTTTGCCATGTTGCCCAGGCTGGTCTCGAACTCCTGGGCTCAAGTGATCCACCTGCTTCAGCCTCCCAAAGTGCTGGGATTACAGCCACTGTGCCCAGCCTATTATAGCTCTTTATAAAACAAAAACAACAAAAAAACCGAACATATTGATTCATGACTCCCTACCTTTGCATTCACATGATTCCTTTGCCTGGAATGTCCCCCTTCTTCTACCTGCTTGGGAATTCCTAGCTATATCTACTAAAATTCTATTCAGATGTCTTTTTCCAGGAAGCTTTTCTTAACCTAACTCACGCCATTAAGTTATTCGCTTTATTTTTCTAGGTTATCTTCTATTTGTTTCTACTGTTGTACTCATCATTCTGTAAGGTATTGGGGCTCTGTAGAATTTCTGTTACAAAATTACTTTTTGGTTTGATAATATTTACCTACATTGAGCAATCCCATAAGAAACAGGCCTGTGAAACTCTCTATTGGGTTTCCTAAAACAATATTGTTGAGAGATTATTTAATTACCTAGCTTTCTTTTTATAGGGACTTGCCAGAGAAATATATTTCTGGTCTTATCATATTAGTTACTCTTCAGATTTGTTTTAGAAAATAGTCACCATTAACACCTTTTAGAATTGGTTGGTGGAAAGTTTCCAATCAAAATCGTGGTCCACCTCTAGCAAGCTGTAAAATTTTATGATCTCCAATTAGCCTCAGTTTAAACTCTAGTCAGGCATTTAGCTTCACAAAAACTGAAGTCAGGGATAGTCAGTTTTCCCATATTAGTAGAGAGCTGGGAAGTGCTGATGTGCACAACCTGCAGCCTGAAATAGTTGCTTTTTCTAAATAACAGTAAAACTGTTGCTCTCTGAGGATGGATAGGTGGATGCTATTTGTTGTTTGCAAAGCTTAGGGAACCCTGTGGTTGAGATTTTTTCCAATACATGCATTTTTTTTCCCTTTGCAAAGGGACTTTGGATAATTGTTAATTTTCCCAAGAATATAATTATAATTCTTTTATTGTTTAAATAGAGTTAATAGTTTATCTACAGTTTCACTTTCTGCAGTTTCAGTTATCCATGGCTTGAAAATATTAAGATATTTTGAGAGAAAGAGGAAGAAAAAGAGGTGTCAGTCACATAACTTTTATTACAGCACATCGTTACGTTTCTATTTCATTATTAGTTATTGTTCATATCTTACTCTGCCTAACTTATAAACTTTAACATGCATATGTATGGGAAAAAAAACATAGTATATATAAGGTTTGGTACTATCTGCAGTTTCAGGCATCCACTAAGGATATCAGAACATATTCTCTGCATATTTAGGAGCAATTACCGTATGATATTTTTTTCTTTCTGTGTAAACACATGGTGTCATAGTCCATTTTGTGCTACTGTAACAGAATATCACAGACTAATAACAAATAACAGAAATTTATTGGCTTATAGTTCTGTAGGCTGAGAAGTCCAAAATCAAGATGCTGGCATCTGGGAAGGGCTTTTTTGTTGCATCATCACACAGAGGAAGGTGGAAGGGTGACAGAGAGAGCAAGAAGGGGCTGAACTTACCCTTTTATAACATCACCAATCCCACCCTAATCACCTCTTAAATATTCCACCTATTAATACTGTTATCATGGCAATTACATTTCAACATGAGTTTTGCAGGGGAGAAACATTCAAATCATAGCACATGGGTTAGGTGAGAAATGAAGAGTGAGGTATACAAGAGCATCCAGAACCATACTATATACATTCCAGCTGTTTTGGTGTAGAAGCAGCACAAATGTAGAAGCTGCATTGTTTCTTGATAAAAGGGTCCTGGAAAGATGACCAGCTATACAGTTTCCACTAGAGGAAATGCAGATTGGCTTGTACGACTTTAGAGTATGAAATATAAAGATCTGGAGTCTGTTCCATGTTTTTTCAGGACTGGTGTGACTATATTATGGATAACGAAGGAAAGGAGCCTCCTTTGAAAGAAGCATCTAAATTAGGGATGGGCTCCTCATTTGGAGGATGTTAGAAACTACGAATCAATGTCTCTCATGTTCAATGGAGCTCCCATTTTTATCGGTTTCATGAGACTATTATTAATTTATTTGAATCCAAGATGAGTCTCAAATATACCCAGAAGAAAAAAAATTAAGAAATGAAACCAAGACTCCTAATGCTTTGAATGTTCGTAACATTCGAGAAAAATTTGAGCCTGGGCTATATAATCAAAGTCTAGGATTTGTGAACCTAACAGGGTTCCACTGTCACCTGTTTTCAAGAGAGTGCTGAGAAAAATTCCAATCTATACCTTAAACAATTAGGTTAAATGATTTAAAGAAATTAGCCTTCAGAGGACTGAATTTTTAATGATTTTTCTACTTGGAAAATGTGACTTCTAAATAAAAAAAGTGCTTGCTTATTATAAAACCTTGGTTCAAAGGTAAATACTATGTTCTGACAAGTGTAAAATAAGTACAAGCACATGTGAAAATAACTGTTAACAGCAAATGCTTAAGAAGTGTTCTTGTTTTCTAAAATAAACATTTCCTGTTCCTAAAGTTTTTGGATCAGAAAATGGAAAAATATAACTCTAGTTAATGGGGATATGCAATTTGACTGTAGACCAATAATTAATTGTCATAAAGACTTTAAAAATCCTTCTAGATTAATAATGTGTAGAGGAGTCTTAGAGGATTACTCAGTAAAATAAATTCAAGGTAACAATATTAATCTAAGTTTCTTTAATATTCTTGATCTGGGTAAACATTTTCATAAATTAATTTTGTGAATTTTGAGTTTAAAATATGTCCTGCTCTAATTTCACCATGTGTAAAATAAAAAGGCAATCATAGTATTTTAGTCCATATAAAACCATGCCTCCATTTATAAAAACAGACTTTTTTTGGACAGTTTAACAGTTACAGAAAAACTGAACAGGAATTACAGAGAGTTCCTGTATGTCCCCTCAAGCCCTCTTCCCTCCAGTTTCCACTATTAGTAACATCTTGCATTAGTGTGGTACATTTGTTAAAATTGGTGAGCCAATATTGATACATTATTAAGTCCATAGTTTACATTAGGGTTCACTCTTTGTGCAGTTTTATTGGTTGTTATATTTTATTGGTTTTGACAAAGGTATGACATGTATCCACCATTACAGTATCATTCAGAATAGTTTCACTGCCTTAAAAATCCTCTGTGCTCCACCTATTCATCCAACCCTTCCCATGGACCACTGGTAACCACTACCTTTTCACTGTCTCCATGGTTTTGCCTTTTCCAGATTACCATATAGTTGGACTCATACAATATGTAATCCTTTCAGATTGGCTTTTCCTTAGCAATATGCATTTAAGGTTCCTCCATTATCCAGAGATGGTTTTAGTTGTCACAACTTGGGTAGAGAGATCAGGGGTCAATGCTACTGGCATCTAGTGGGTGGTAGAGACTGAGGTAGCTCATGAGCATCCTACAATGCCCAGGACAGCCCCCTACAAAAAAGAATTATTCAGCCCCAAATGCCAACCATGCTCGAGGTTGAGTAACCTTGTGTTAAGAGTGACATGTGGCATGAGAAATGGGGCGGTTTTGGCTCATGTTGTGATATTCTAGATTCAGGTATTTCCCTGAGCAGAGAGGCTGAAATGCTGAAAATTTTTCATTTGATGACCTTGATGCTTCCTTTCCTGACCATCGTAAAGAACAAATGGCTCCTTTGCTTTGGCAAGAAATACTGAAGGTGGTGGCTTTTTTCTGTTTGTTTTGAAATGAAGTCTTGCTATGTTGCTCAAGCCAGTCTTGAATTCCTGAACTTCTGGTCTCAAGTGATCCTCCTGACTCAGCCTCCAGAGTAGCTGGGACTACAGGCACATGTTACTGCACCAGCCTTCAACGTGATTTTTTTTATTTCATTCAGGTGACAAACTCATGCTGAGGTTCCCAATTTTTGTCTCAGAGCTAGGATATTCTAAATTTGTAAAAAAAAAAAAAAAAAAAAAAAAAGTTAAGAAATATTAACTTTCTATGAAACACTCTAAATACTAACAAAGAGCTTGGTGAGTTCTCCCACTTACCTGTGTCCCATCTGTGCTTCAGTTGCAAATATATATATATATACACAGAGAGAGAGAGAGAGTCTTATTCTGTCACCCAGGCTCCAGCGATCCTCCCTCCTTGGCCTCCCAAAGCACTGGGATTATAGGGATGAGCCACTGCCCCCAGCTCAGTTGCTTATTTTGCATTATTTCAAGGCAGTGGAGGCAAAACGCTCAAAATTAATTTCTCACAGATCAACATCACATCTTGGAGTAAAACAAACACATATTGAAGGTATTTTAATGTATGTTTTCTTGAACTTCTTCTAACTAATAGGGGAAATATTTTCATTAACTTTTACCAAAGATTTCTGGATAGTGTAAATATATTTTTCTATTTGGGTAACAGTTTATAGTATGCTGTTATTTCTCTGTTCATTTATTTATTTTTATCATATACCTCCTAGAGTAAGATTTAATTTGATGGAAATGTTTTGTGGATTCTGCTGTAATTAATGCACATAATAGCAGTCAGTAATAGAATTTCTGTAAACCTATATTTATTAATTATCTAATACCTTCTCTTCATTTTGCTGTTGATTTCCACTAAGTAGATTAAATTGTGTTCTTAAAAACAGAAATTCATTTGTGTATGGATACAAAACAGAATGTTCCCAAATGCAATCTTGGATGTGATGCTCTAAACTTTAGAAATCCAGCTTCATTTATTTTGGATTAATTTCTCCCGCTTGGAGGCTGACACACTGTTTTACATCTATCAAATGCATGATTATAAAATTAACAATTTTGTACAATAATGAAATTAAACACACACACACATGAACTGTAAACTATACAGCACCATCTCTGTGTCATAGTTTTAAAAGGCACTTCCAGATGACATAAAAAATGAAGAGATATTTTTTAAGAACCTATTGATTTTTGATCTCCAATTTTGTGTGTGGGGGGTTGTTTTTCTTTAACCCTAGTTTTATCTAATTTGAGATTCATGAACAAGGTATCTCTAAGGGAAAGAGCAGCAGGTATAATTATTAGTTATTTTATAAGACTTTGTGAAGTCTTTGGTATAGTTCTAAAAACAAAGTGAAAGAACCTAATGTATGTATAAAAATAGTTTTGCAAGTCAATTGGTTTCTAATTCTTTGCTTTCAACAAAATTGAAGAAGAACCTTATACTTGAGTTGTCAGCTGACAGATTATTAAAAATATTATTTAATAATAGCCCATTATGTGAGTTTTGCATACGACTAAGAAGAAATTTTAAAAATTGGGTGAAGTTGCCTCAACAAGTCTTTATTTTCTCATTCATTTATATGATCAAGATTCCTTAGTTCTTTCATGTTAAAATTTTTTAATTGAAATAATATACAGCCCAGATTCATTAACAATAAGTAACATTTGTCAACATGAAATTGGGAAAATAAAGTCCCTATCCATCTCATTAAGAGATGCATTTCTAGTTAAATTTTACCATTACAAACTTACACTTTTATTTACCAAAATGTGTATTACAGATTGAGCATCCCTCATCAGAAAATCTGAAATGCTCCAAAATCTGAAACTTTTTGAGCACCAATATGATGCCACATGTAAGTACTGTACTTAACACAACTTCGTTTCACATATAAAATTATTTTAAATATGGTATAAAATTACCTTCAGGCTATGTGCATAATGTATATAAGAAACATAAGTGAACTTCATGCTTAGACTTGGGTCCCGGCCTCAAGATATCTCATTATGTATATACAAATATTTTAAAATCCAAGATAATCTGAAATCCAACACACTTTTGGTCCCAAGCATTTCAAATAAGGCATATCCAATCTGTACTGACATTATTTTGATCTCTAACAGTTGGTAATCCTATCTTAATCCATATAACTTTTTTTTGAGACAGCATCTTACTCTGTCATCCAGGGTAGAGTGCATGCAGTGGCACGATCATGGCTCACTGCAGCCTCGACCTCCTGGGCTCAAGTGATCCTCCTACCTCAGCCTCCCAAGTAGCTGAGACTACAGGCAGGAGCCACCATGTCCAGTAATTTTTTTTTTTTTTTTTTTTTTGTAGAGATGAGGTTTCCCTATGTGCCTAGGCTGGTCTTGAACTCCTGGGCTCAAGTAATCCTCCTGCTTCAGCCTCACAAAGTGCTGGGAGTACAGGTGTGGGCCACTGCACCCAGCCCATATAACTTTTACACTTACAACAAGAAATTAAAAATTCAATGTAAGAACATATTTTGTTGCAAAGAAGCAGAATAGGTGGCTCAATAAAAGATTTCCAAGAACAAAGAAAAAAATTACATTAGGATGTAACCAGGGTTGAGAACTCAAAAAAAAAAAAAAAAAGAAAAAGAAAAATTCTACATGGGGGGTAGAATAAAAATATGAATTCAAAGTGGGAAAAAAGAGCAATGTAAAATTTCCAACCATTAAGAAAGAGGTTGTTTGTATATTTTTTAAATTAATGATAATGGGTGTCAAAACATTATGATATTTAGATTGAATTGAACATATGAGCGATTAACAGTTTTATTTTAAAGTGTTAATATGGAGAATATGTTGGAAATTATATATTTTTTGCAACTATCTGGACACATGTTGACAATTTTAGGTCTGTCTAAGTCTATGGGAGGAGGCATATGACATTTCACAATCCTTGTAGGAGAGATGTGAAGGGAAGACCCCTGAGCTATTCTTCCTCTTTCTTGTGTTACCCCAGTAGGAAAATGGACTTATAACTGGAGAAGAGAAGCTAGGTGTCAGCAGAGACATGATGGAGTGGACATTTCTTTCAGTCCTTTACCAGGAAGTCCTCTCAAACTGAGGAGGAACATACTAAGGGAGAGACACACTAGTCTTGAAGCCCATGGCATTCCTGAAGATCCACCTCACACCCCAAATTACCAAACCCCAAAGCTCTCTTCAGCTCAGTAGGTTGTCCTTTAATTTTCAGTAACCCTTCCCTACAGCAGAAGAACCAATTTTTCTTTTCCCTCATAATTTGAATCCCTCCCACTAATTTATTTGAAGATGAAGATATTATCCTCTTTTACTACCAGTGAAAATACAATGACTTGAGAAGAGAAAATGATCTGTGTGACGCCAGGGTAGAAGTGGAAGTTGTGGGCCCTCGAATAAACCACTAGTCTTATACTTGAAGCAGGATAAACAATAAATGCCAAACCCAAGGCAGAAACTAGAAACATGGAGGAAAAGAGGCATAAATGCCTCATATTAGACAGTTACATTCTAAGAAATCTTTCTTGCAGCAGTTACTTTCCTACAATGACCAACTTCCTCTGACTCCAAATTTACTCCTTATGTACACTTGGGTTAGATATTCCTTTGACTATCCAATCATACCATTGTATAGTACCATTTACACATGCATACATGCTCACCTAAAGAACTTTTTGTGTGTGTGTGTGTGTGGTTTTTTTTTTTAAATCGAGTCTGGGACCTGGTTTCGCTCCATTGAGTCACTGGTGAAAAATTTAGTAAATCTACGAAGAGAGTTTAGTAAGTGTAAGAAGAGTCTGCTCACTGTGTGTGATATTCCAATAGATTCATGTGTTCTACACACAGGGATCTCTTGGATATAAGGGAGGCATTTCTCAGGTGTCTGGGTGACTTTCTGGTCATTATCCAGGTTCCTGGCTCAGCTTCCCAGGTCTCTTTGAATAAGCAGAGGGGATCCACATTCAGACAAGGCTCCTGGGGCTCTGACCAGAGGGGCTGGACATCCCTGGTAGACCTGACATTGGGCACTGAGACTCCTGGAAAACTTAAGCTGTTAATTTTGCAGTTCTCCATCTTGACTGCTTCTCGGACTGACCATCAGTTGGTGGGTTTTCATCAGCCTTCTGCCTCACCTCCTCTGATCCAAGCAGCAGCAGGGACTCACTTGCATGCACTGGTCTTGTAGGCAGTGACTTTTAAGCCACATCCTCTGTCTACCAGGCTAAACTTGCCTGCCTGAGAGGCATACTCCTTCCATCCTCTATCGTACATCTGTGAGCTACCAACTCTGGCCCTAGTGTGATACTGCCAGAATGTTGTGTACCTCATCTATTTAGAGTGGGAAGCCCATAAGGCAAACTGAAGAGGCCCCGTATCCTCACTCCCTTTCTGCTCAGTTTTTTCATTTATATTATCTCAACTTCACTCTACTAACCAGAGCACCAAGGAAGGGTAGGTTAGCAATTACGTCTATGATGACTATAGAGAAGTGGGGAGATGACTTATGATCCTCTTTGTGCTGGATTCCCTACTGAAGGCATCTGATGGCTTCTGATTTCCCTGGTCTGAGAAGAAAGTCCCTCTCCACCTCTCCCTCCTTACTCTACCTCAGGCTGAGGGGCTCAGGCAACCTTTTATGTTGCATATGGCATAGGTATCTCTGCCTCACTCCAGAAGGGACCAACCAATAGCCACCTACTCACCTACTTCTGAGGTCTAGTGCCTACAGACCTGGTGTTCATAAATTTAAGTTCTGGATTTAGGTCTCCTTTCCTGTAGCCAGGTGATCAGTGACCGGCAAAAATCAAGATCCCAGACTTCCTGAGTAACCTCATCAAGACTGAGGTAACAGCTCACATAGCTAGTGCATAGACAGATGCAGGTTACATGGAGTCTGAATCCCGTACACATTTGGAGGCTCCCTTTGGGACTGCTGGGATGCATGAAACATGGGATTTCACTCACAGTTGTGCTCACTATGTGTGATATTCCTATAGATTCATGTCTCTACACACAGGGATTTTTGATCATTCTGAATTGTTGATTCCCATAAAAAATGAATACATGGTGATCACTGTATATGCTGCATTACTGAATACATATTTACGAGAGTCTCCAACACATCTTTACACGTCTGAGGAGTAAAAGAATTTCCCACAGATTAGCTTCTGGTTCCCATTTCAAACCTCATTTCTGTTCCACCTCTGGCATTGGGTGTAGTATGGCTCCTTAGTGCTCCAGGCCAAAATAAGTGGCACAGGGGTAAAGTCATTTCTGGTGGGGGGTGGGGGATTTGGAGAAAAAAAGAAAGGATTGCAGGGGAGTACACTGGGAGGGTTAGGAGAAATTCTGGAGATACGGTCCACTCAATGGAGGCACATACAACCAAGCTGAGAAACGACATAGTACCCAACAGAGTTGGGAGATGTGAAACCCAAACATCAATCTCCACCTGGGCATAGAGGAAATACTCGATTTCCAAGCAGGTTCTAGGTTCAGAGGAGAGAGCCCTTGGTTGGAAGCGCCGGTCTTGCAGGATGGGGTGGGGGCGTTAATGCAAACTTCTGGTCCAGCAGAGGTAGAAACAGACCAGATCTAAGTAGCAGCTCAGAGGCAGCGGACTTGAGGGATGAAGACGTGAGGCCCAGAGGGTGGTGCCTGGCAGAGAAAACAGCTGCCAGACACCAAGGCCACCTCGGGTTAAAGGGAACAAGTTATATCCAAAAAAAAACCAACACGGTGAAAATAGGAAGAATAAGGATATCACCTGGAGTGTTCTCCTGAGACACTCCCCAAGAACCTGGATTCTTTAACAATCCCTCCAGAGCAGGGACACTCAGCACATACATCTCCCACAAAGTAAAGTGTCTGAAGGCCTGGGCAAACCCTTCTCCCTCCCCTTCTCTCTCCTCCACGGGCCGGCCCGGAGGAGGCTCAGGGATGAGAACTACTGTCACTGCTGTTCCCCACCTCACCCCAACGAGAGAGGAATCTTTAGAGGTCTGTATCCCTCCTTCACCACCCCGCCTGAGCGCCTGCTGGAAAACACAATCACCGTCTCAAATCTCACCCTGCAACTGCATCCAAGCGCTTTCTCCAAGCGTTCGGGGAGCCGCCGGAACTCTTCTTCCAGGCAGGCGTTCCGAGACTCCGCACAATAGGCACCTACCCTTGGGGTTTTGAGCCGCAGTGTCTGCCTCTGTTCAAGTATCCAGGCTCAGGTACAGACCTTTCAGTGCAGGCGGCGGGAGGCGCGAACACGGAGGACCCCCTCAGGCATACTGCCGCCCGGGCGGCGCCTGACAGATTGCCTCCTTGGGATCGGCGGACATGCCCTGGGCGCTCCAGCTCCGCGCGCCTCAGACACAGGCTATGATTGGCCTGGCTGAACGTCAATCAGGGCTCGGCGCCGTGGAGGCGGGAGGAACGCTGTAGGCAGAGGCCGCTTAACTCCCTACGGGGTTATTCTCCGCCTCTTCTAGGGTAGGCAGGTGTTCCCGAGTCCCTTAGGGGGGGTCCCCGCGGCGGCCTGAGATGCTCGGCGCCAGGTTGTCGCGCCCTTGAGCTGGCTGAAGTAGACATTGACTCTGGAGAGTCTGCGTTTTTCCTGGTCCCAGAGCCGTGGTCCCGATACTGCGCTTCCCGCTCCTCCAGTCCCAGCTCCCAGGCTCCGTCTTCTCCCGCTTGGCGCTGGAGAAACACCGGAAGAGAGAGTCGCAGAGTGACTGCTGTGGCCCTGCGACC
Organism: Homo sapiens; assembly: GCF_000001405.40. Classification (NCBI taxonomy): domain Eukaryota; kingdom Metazoa; phylum Chordata; class Mammalia; order Primates; family Hominidae; genus Homo; species Homo sapiens. The sequence continues at coordinate 4,199,174 of NT_167244.2, read as the reverse complement.
TGACTGCCACCTTCCAGGACTCTAGCCCTGGCTCCTTCTAACCTTCCCGCCCCTCAGTGCCCCAGAGAGGCTGGTTTGCGGACAATTATTCATCAGCCGGAAGAAAAGGAGGTGCCAGTGTTAGGCGCAGAAGAGGGTTGGACCAGAAAAGCTGGAGAGGGGCAAGAGGGGAAAGAGGGGGAAGGGGGAAGGCGGAAGGCGGAAGAAGTTGGGAGGGGTAACAGCTCGAGCTTTTCCTCTAGCGTAGTTTCTCTTCTCTCGGTGCCGCCCCATCTGCTTCTTGCCTCAGTTCCCCACTCGCACCCGTGCACCTCTGCGGCAGGCGTGTGAAAGGAATGGGAGGGGGGGCTTTTGGTCGGGATATCTGGTCCTCCAGACCCCACAGCCTTGGCTGAGAACTTACTTAAGCCCACTCCAACTGACTTGATAAATGAGAATCTTGACCAGCCCACTGGTAGGTAGAAATGAGGGACGTCATCTATCCCTGAATGGAATAACGCGAAACCGCAGGTCACGTGGATGTGGGAATCCACAGCACTGGCTGCGCTCCTAAGGCTCCTAAGTCCACTTCCGAACCTCATCTAAGACCCTGAAAGCCAGACTAGGGACACATTGGATTATTATTATTATTTTTTTTATTTGAGACAGGGTCTCGCTCTGTCGCCCAGGCTGGAGTGCAGTGGTGTGATCTTGTCTCACTGCAACCTCCGCCTCCCGCGTTCAAGCGATTTTCGTGCCTCAGCCTCCCGAGGAGCTGGATCTACAGGTGCGCACCACCACGCCTGGATAATTTCTGTATTTTTAGTAGAGACGGGGTTTCACCATGTTTGCCAGGCTTGTCTCGAACTGTTGACCTCAAGTTATCCTCCCGCCTCCACCTCTTAAAGTGCTGGGATTACAGGCCTGAGCCTCTGCGCCAGTCCTACACGTTGGATCTTTTCCCAGACCTCCTCCTCAGACGTGGAGCGTACAAATGATGCTCCATCGGTTACTCTGATCCTGACTTTGGGACTGCCAGATAAAACTGGGAGAAACCCTACATTTACTCTTACTGTAACGTATTGGCTTGAAACTGCAGGTCAGAACCCATTTATGTTGAGACCAAAAGACTTTTTTTCCAAGTAGAATGAAATAGAATAAAATACAATTGAAAATACTTGCCTGCATCACAGGTAATGAGAGTAACTATAGTTTCATGAAACCGTTGTTTCAGTTAAATATGTTTTTGCGTGTGTGCATGTGTATCGGGAGGAGATATGTATTTCATATATATATGTAGAGAGGTGGAAATCAACAACAAAACTCCATAATTTTTCTTGTTTTCTAACAGTTCTTGATTTTGAGTAAAAATAATTCTTTAAGAACAAAATTTTGAGCCAGCTAACGAAAGATCAGAGTCAAGCAGCCTCTCATTGGGGCCTGAATAGAGGTTCATCTTATTTGGCTTTTTCGTTTTTTTCCTATCTTGTGGACTCCTTTTAAGGCCCAGCAAGGAATTACCCTCCCCAAGTTTCCACTCTCTGCTTGGTTCAGCCATTCAGCTGTCTCTCGGGCTCTTTGATTAATAAAAAGTCCAGTAGAGCTATTTTATCCTATGCATGTGTGGGAAGAGGGCAATGCCAGTGATTCTTTCCTGATTTGACAGAAAATTCACAAATCACGTTACCTTCTGAAGATAGAGATTTTAAGCTCAAACATTATCACCAGAGAACTGAATTATTAAGAAAGATGAGTGGTCAAAAGTACAGATGTTTTACAGATTAAGGGTCATTTTGTCAGGTCCTGTCCAAAATATTTGAAGTCTAGGGGTTTGAAAAATTGTTAGAAATAACCATTTATGACAACAGTTTTCATTTATTGTTCTCTCCAGCTTCAGGAGCAGGGGAGAACATTTTTTTCCTTCTTACCTTGCTGAGAATTTTTTCACCAGGGTTTCAAGGCTAAGAACTGAAATTCCAGCATTGACATTGAATTAAAAAGAAGCAAGCCCTTTTAGGAAGTCAAATTTTATTATATGAGATGGAATGTAATATTGAGATTACTTATTACTTAGGCATGGGATAGGGGGGCTTTTAACAACAGACCAAAAAAAAAGTTGGAAGGATAGGAATGAAATAAAGCAAACTTTCATTATTCATAGATGATACAATTGTCTACAGAGAAAAATAATCTAAAACATAAGAATTAAGAGTTTGGCACAGTGGTTGGCTAAATATATAAACAAATCTATTGCATTTTCTATAAAAACAAAAAAGTAGAAATGTGATTAACTGGTTTATATAACAAACTTACAGTACAGTTGACCTTTGAACAACATGGGCTTGAACTGTGCAGGTCTACTTATATATGATTTTCTTCTGCCTTTGCCACCCTTGAGACAGCGAGACCAACCTCTCCTCCCCTTCCTCCTTCTTAGCATATTCACCATGAAGACATGAGGATGAAGACCTTTATGATGCTCCACTTCCACTTAATGAATAGTAAATATATTTTCTCTTCTTTATGATTTTTTAAATAACATTTTCTTTGCTTTTCTGAGACAAGGTCTTGCTCTGTTGCCCAGGCTAGAGTGCAGTGTTATCATGGCTCACTGTAGCTTCAACCTCCTGGGCTCAAGCGATTCTCCACCTCAGCCTCCCAAGTAGCTGGGACTACAGGTGCACGCCACCCTACCTGGCTAAATTTTTAATTTTTTGTAGAGATGGGGTCTCGCTATGTTGCTGAGGCTGGTCTCCAACTCCTTGTCTCAAGCACTTCTGCCTCAGCCTCCCAAACTGCTGGAATTACAGCCATGGGCCACCGCACCTGGCCAACATTTTCTTTTCTCTAGCTTACTTTACTGTAAGAGTACAGTATATAACACATAAAAATATAAAATATATGTTAAATAACTTTATGTTATTGGTAAGACTTCTGATCAACAGTAGGCTATTAGTAAAGTTTTGGAGGAGTCAAAAATTATGTGCAGATTTTTGACTGCACAGGTGGTCAGCGCTACTAACCCTCGCATTGTTGAAGGGTCCACTGTAATCAGGAATAAATTCTCAAAAAGGAAAGGCATGCAAGATCTTAGTGGGGAAAATTAAAATCATTAAAAGAAGTTGAAGAAGTACTGCACAGATGGAGAGACACATTCATGGTTAGGAAGCATCAATATCATTAAAATGCCAGTTTTCCCCAATGTGATCTATAGTTTCATGCTATTTCTAGAAAAATTTCAACAAAATGTTTTATAGAATTGGACACAATGATATTAAAATGAAACGAAGGAACACAAGTTCAAGAAGAGCCAAAATACCATTGAAAATAAAGAGGAAGTTGGGGAATTTCCTGACTACATGAGAAGATATTATATACACCACTGGATTTAAGACCATGTGCTATTATTGGTGAGAGAGGGAGTAGACAACTGGGCCAATAGAATAGAATGGAAAGAGTGTCAGGACCCCTTGTATGTGAAGAATGGTCATTAAAGACCAGTGGGTAAAGGATGTATAATTCAATAAGTTTGAATTTATGACACTGGATTAGTGGATATATATACATCATAATAAATTCCAGATGAACTAAGTACCGACGTATTGAAGGCAAAACTGTAAAACTTTTAAATGAAAATGTGAAAGAAATATTTGTATGACTTCAAGGTAGAAAAATATTTATTAAAAAGACACACATACACATTTTAAAAACAAAAATGTTAAGAGAAGATGAATAAATTTGACCACATTAAAATTAGAAACTTTAATCAAAACACACTCTAAAGGAAAAAAAGCCACAATCTAAACTTATTTATATCACACATAATTTACATAGGATCAATATCCAGAACATCTAAGAATAGCCCCATAGGAAAATGATCAAAAGATGTGAAAGGGCAGTTCACAAAAAGGGATATATAAAAGACCAATAAACGTACAAAAGTTAAGCTCACAATAGTTATCAGAGAATTGTGAATTAGAACAGTCCTTGAAATAACATTTTAAAATCACTAAATAGACAAACATTGAAAAGTCTAACATTATCAAAAATCAATGAGGATGTAGGGTGAGGGGAACTCATACTCTGATGGTGGACTTCAAACTGAAATAATCTACTTGGAAAAAAATTGGCATTTTGTAGAGTTGAAGCTGAGAATATCCTAAAGCATAGCAGCTCTACCCTTAAATATATATGCACCTTAGGGAAATTATTGAATAAGGCACCAAGAGCAATGTGCAGGAAAAGTCATGAGAGCATTCTTTGTAATTGCAAAAAGCTGGAAACAACCCAGTGTCCATTTGCAGGTAAACTGATACACAAATTTTGGCATAATCATAATGTGGAATTCTCTGCAACATCAAGATCAGTGGAATACAGATAAAATAATAAACTTGCATAATTCTTAAAATCATATTGTTGAATGAAGAAAACAACAGAAAACTACATTTTGATATTAATTATGATGTTAATTTGTTGTCAGACAAAGACAATATTTACTATGATGAAAAGCAAGATAATGATCAACTCCAAATTTGGAATAATAGTTGCATTTTGCAGAGAGGAAGGGAGATTCTAAGGGAAGACAAATACAGGAAACTTTAATGTTAAGGGTAACGTTCCATTCCTTCATGTGACTGGTGGGAAAAAATGGATGTTTAAAATTCTTGTAGATATGCATCACATGCATTACTTATTTGTAGAAAAATATTTCAAAAACTGGATCATAAGAAAAAAGGAAAAAGATGTATAAGAAATCATTTGCATAGAGACAGAAGTAACAAAGGCAATTTGATGAAATTTATTGAGACAGAAGACTAAAAAATGAAAAAACATGGTAAATATAAAAATATGATGGCAGAAGTAATCCAGATATATATGCATTTGTAATGTCCATTTATATCATTGCATTAAATCTAAATTTTTCTGCTCAGTAAAGATGGTCTGTGTGTGTGTGTGTGTATTTGCTATTCAAAAAGTGCTGGTGGCAATGGCTTATACCTGTAATCCCAGCACTTTGGGAGGCCAAGGAGGGAGGATCACTTGAGCCCAGGAGTTTGAGATCAGCCTGGGTAACATAGCGAGACCCTATCTCTACAAAAATAAAAAAATTAGCCAGGCGTGGTTGTGCATGCCTGTAGTCCCAGCTACTGAGGAAACTGAGGTGCAAGGATCGCTTGAGCCTGGAAGGTTGAGGTTGCAGTGAGCCGTAGTCGCACCCCTGCACTCCAGCCTGAGCGGCAGACTGAGACCCTGTCTCAAAATAAAAACAAAAACAAACAAAAAGCACCTAAAACAAAATGACACCGAGTGATTAAACCAATGGACAATGATAAACTCAGGCAAATGCTAACAAAAATTAATTATGGATAGAAATACTGTCTTACTCCATTTTGTGCTGCTATAATAGAATATCCAAGACTGGATAATTTTTAAAGAACAGAGATTGACTTATTACAGTCCTAGAGGCTAGGAAATCCAAGGTTGAGAGGCCTGCATCTTGCAAAAATCTTCTGGCTGCCTCATACTGTGGTGGAAGGCAAAAGGGATAAAAAGAGAGCTGAGAGAGAGAAAGAGAAAGAGAGAGCGCCCAAGTGCAACAGGTTGAATTCACAGGCTTTTAGCCTTTTTGTAATTGGCATTAATTCATTTATGAGGATGGAGTCGTCATGACCTAAACACCTCTCATCATTAAGCCTCACCTACTAACACTGTTGCATTGAATATTACATTTCCAACATATGCTTTTTGGGGACACATTCAAACCATTACAAATACTAATATTGAACAAAGTAGAATAAATGATGAAGAAATTTTTCAGTGTCAAAGAAGGATACTTTATTATGCTAAAATGTACAATTCACCAACTACCCATAAGTTATAAGCCTTCATATCCTAAACAAGTCTTTGAAAGTTAGGGAAAAAAATGTGCTTTGTTAGGAAGGATAAATTGACACATTTAAGAGCTTTTAGCATACTTTTAAACTAAACTGTCATATCCAATTGTAAAATAATGTGAATGTAAGATATTTTGCTAAAGCAAATAATGATCTTAAGTTATCAAATATTTATAAAATTGTGTACTCAACAAATAGTGAATGCATATTTTCCCAAACATAATGCATTAAACCACAAAGTAAAATTAAATAGAAATTAGAAACTACACGGGCTATATTCTCTCACCGGTATAAAACACATACATAGAAAAACAAAACAAAACTAAAATAAAACAAAACAAAACCTCACCAAAACAGTACTAACAAGAAAGCCTCCACTTGGAAACTTAAAAACATCTCACTAATTTTTGGGTTGAAAAGGAAATCAAAATTGCAATTCAAAGGAGTTATGTTTTTGCTAGGAATATGGAGGGAATTCAGTTCAGAATTCATTTCTCTATATAGTACAGCAAAGAGAATGAAAAAGAAAACCACACAAGAACCTCATTTTTAGTGAAACTAGGAAACAAAAAGTATGGTTACATCCCAAATTGCATGTCATTTGTGCTTAAAGCAACGGAGAGCAGAACTGGGCATAAGAAGCCAAAATGTTGCTGTGGCAACAGATGAAAGCGTGGAGGGAACTAGTGGTGCGGGATCTCGGAAAGGGCCCGAAAATATTCTCTCTCTAAGAGTAGAAGCCAGCCTAGGTTGGAGCTGTTGGCAGTTGGCCTGAGCTACAGTGAGGCCCAGATGCTGGGGAAGGCAGAAGAAGGCCCACATATTGGGGGAGCAGACTTTGTTTTGGAGGTTCCAAGGTGGCAGATAACAAAGGTTCCCTCTGGAATGCAGGGGGTCCTAACACCGTGGTAGAATCCTTCCTGAAATAGATTAAATTCCCCAAGTTGGAAAAAACATGGATGCAGCGTATTTTAAGATAAAGTTTACGTGTTAGTAATAAAGGATTGGTCCTTCGGTTGTAAAACCTGGGAGGTTACTATTGCCCATGTCTTCTCTCACCAACCCATCATCCCACCCCCATCCAATAGGAGTCTTCCACTAATATCTGGTCCAGGAATGCTCAATTTATTCAGAATAAGTAGGAAAAGAAATGGCACAGTTCCACATAAATATGCCATGAGAAAAAAATGTTTACAGAAAGCAGCAAGATTTCCCTCCAGAAGTAATGAAGCAACCTCAGCCATGAAGATCATGGAGCCAAAAGGATGACCTTCAGCAGAAGCAGTTACGAGCCAAAGAGGTCCAAGGGCACTGAGGGAGGAGCCAAGTGGTAAGGGCCACCTCTGGCTGGGATCCAGGGTGCCCAAGTGGGAAAATGAGCAAGCCAGAGAGTGCTTGGTCTAGGGATTAAGAAAAGCACACAGTAATAGGTTGGACACTAAATTTGAAAATGAACAGTGAGAAAAATGCTGTGGGGACCAGGATTGAAATGAAGTAACAGAACAATTAAAATTACATGATCCAGGGACAGAGACTTGAACTCATAAACAGGCCTGTGTTGCCCATTAGTCACAAGGGGAGCAGTGAGCCATTGTTAAAATGCCAAGGATTCCCAATGCAGTTTACTTGGAACTTTGCCCAGCGATGAAGGAGTCTGACTTGTCTTTTCTGTAATAGTTAGAATCAAAGAAAAATAAAGCACAGCTGGTGGGAGGGTGAGAAGCAAGCATCATGAACCACGGTCTAATTCAAGGATCAAACTGCTGTCCAGTTCTGGCAGATTTTGGATTGCAAGGGGAATAAAGCTGAGAGGCCATATTGGCACCTAGGCACAGTGAGGTGAGTCTGGCCACGCATTTAAGAAGCCCCTGCAAAATGATACAGGTGGTTACTAAAAACCACCTCTGGCCTCTGGAAAAAAAGAAATAGCATCTCCCGGATAAGAATATCTGGGTCTCACACCTATTGACCAGGTCGAGATAGGGTTCAGTTGGGGATGGGATATAATAAAAGGCATGGGTAAAGAAACTGGGCAGAGGCATAGTGCCTGCATGTTGGAGATTAAGGAGGGAATTCGGAACTCATTTTTCTATATATATTACAACAAAGGTTAAGTTTGGAGGTTAAGTAAGGATGCTGCAGCTCACTCATGGTTGCTTTTCCTTCAGAGTACTCATGCCTCGGCTTACCCAGGGGGACTCAAGGAGAGGAATGTGTGTGCGCATATCTATCTATCTATCTATCTATCTATCTATCTATCTATCTATCTATCCATCCACCTTCTAATCTACCTAAATCAATCACTGTGTGTATCTATTCCAACCACAATGGACTCCTATCATTCAATTTCATTTAGTGGTACATCTCAGCCCAGTTTACAGAAAAGCTGTAAAGGGCTGTAAAAGGCTGTATGAGAACATAATCTGAAAAGCGTTGCTCAAAAGAGCATATTATATATTATTGGGCATTTATGAAGAAATTAGATCTCACACTGAGCTAGTTAATAAAGATTTATAATTACAAATGGGCTGCAGCATGTGATTCTGAACTTGACTATTTCCTTTTGCCCTTCAGTTTCAGACTATGATATGGATTATGATTCTCTACCACCCCCTAGTGGAAATTCATTCATTTCTTTTTAAGTCCTGTTTCTTCTAATCATTTAGTCTAAATGATTAGACTAAATGAGAAAATTACATAGTAAATATCTGGATTCACTCTTGTTATAAAAGGTTCAAACCGGCCGGGTGCGGTGGCTCACACCTGTAATCCCAGCACTTTGGGAGGCCAAGGCGGGCGGATCACAAGGTCAGGAGATTGAGACCATCCTGGTTAACACAGTGAAACCCCCGTCTCTACTAAAAACACAAAAAATTAGCCTTGCGTGGTGGCGGGCGCCTGTAGTCCCAGCTACTCGGGAGGCTGAGGCAGGAGAATGGCGTGAACCCAGGAGGCGGAGCTTGCAGTCAGCCAAGATTGTGCCACTGCACTCCAGCCTGGGCTACAGAGCAAGACTCCGTCTATAAAAAAAAAACAACAAGTTCAAACCATACAGAAGGGTACGGAGTAAAAGGTCTCCTTTGTTTCTCCCTCCTCCCCATTCCATTCTAGGTCCCAAAGGTAACTGTGTGTAGTTTGTGTTATACTAGGATATTTCCTGTGCTTTTACACATTCCAGGTATATGGCAGGAAAAATCCTGAGACATCAACTGAGGATTATTTTCCTCAGGCATCTTTCTACAACAGAGGCAGATAACGCATTTCCCCTCATGCCATGGGAGACAGACCACAGCAAAACAGCAATGACCAAAAGATTAAGATTTTTCATTTAAAATTTTACATTTGAAAACCATGGTAGGCCAGGTGTGATGGTCACATGCCTTTAACCATTTAGGAGGCTAAGGCAGGAAGATTGCTTGAGCCCAGGAGTTCAAGACCAGCCCGGACAACATGACGAGACTCAGTTTCTACAAAAAAAAAAAAAAAAAAAAAAAAGAAAAGTAAAGAAAAAAAATTAGCTGGGCATGGTGGCGCTCACTTGTGGTTTCAGCTACTCAGGAGGCTGAAGCAGGAGGATTGCTTGGGCACAGGAGGTTAGGGATACAGCAAGCCATGTTCAGGTCACTGTACTCCAGCCTGGGTGACAGAGTGAGACCTTGTCTCAATAAATAAATAAATAAATAAATAAAATAGAAAACCCAGTAGAGGCCAAATGAAAGAAAGGTCTTTGGAGATGAAAAACCTTAGATTACTAGATATCTGAAGTCAGCACTTGTTCCATAAATAATAGATTTGGGAAGTACTCCGGATAATCTTAGAGCCAATTTTCTTCTGTGGAAGTGATAAGAATCCACAGGCTGAAGACAGAAAGAGTGTCAGGAACTGGTTTTGGGGTCTTGCACTCTGTAATCCAGTTAAACTGTGTGACAGAGGGTCAGTGCCTCCTCCAACTCAGATATTTTGGGCATACAAGGATGGGATCAAAGAGTGTGCTGTTTCTGGTCTACGGAATATTACAAATTTGAATGAAATAAAAATATTTCTGACAGTTTCTAAACTCTCTTTTCTTAGTACTCAATAGAATGGACTGTCATCCATGCTGGGTAAGGAAAGATCTTGACAAGGAAAGGAAGGAATCAGGGTTTCATGAGAGACAGGGTTCTAGGGATCCAAGCACCATGATGAGGTAATGGCTAAGTTTTCTCTTGGGTAATGCAAAGAAAAGTTGACCTTTACTGCTGTGAAGCAAATTAGAAGCTAACCCGGGGTGCATTCGTTTGGTTTCTTCCAGAAGCAGTCCCTGACACAGGGACATGAATGAAAGTAATTTATTTTGGAGGTGCATGAAACTTCAGTAGCAGCTGAGTAAAAGATTGGGAAGGGAAAACAGCCAACGAAGGGTGAATGACTGGAACTTAATCCCCTGGGGAAATTCTGGGAAAGCACTTGCCTCAGAGTTAACCCAGCCACGGAAGGAGGGAGTTGGGCAATTGTACATCAATTCCCATTGGTTGAAGGCTGCTGCCTGACACGTGAACTCTTCGGCCCTTCTAGTCTGCTGTGAGTCGGGCAGAGTGGCCCTTCTTGGCTTTGAGGAAGCCTTCAGGAATGATGCAAATGTCCAGCCAGTGTGCACTACAGTGGTAAGGCCCAAGGAACATGGCAGGTATTAGTAGCATCAGCCGTCTATTTCTAGTTGGAGAACCCTTAGATGACTGGAGCCTGTGATCTCTTACATCTATAATATCTGTGATCAGAATGGAAGAATTTTCTATTGTCTTTTCTTTTTCAATTTTGCCCAAGCCTTCATAAAGTCTTGTTAAAACTTTGACAACAGTCTTATTTTTACATTCCTTTAATCAAGAAGGACAGGCCTATGTCCAAATATAGGAGGATGTATTAGTTTGCTAGGGCTACCATAAGAAATACCACAGACTGAATGGCTTAAACAACATAAACTTATTGCCTCCTGGCTCTGGAGTCTAGAAATGTGAGATCAAGGTGTCAGCAGGGTTGGTTTCTTCCGAGGTCTCTGTCCTTGGCTGGCAGATGGTTGTCTTTTCCCTGCATCTTCCTATGGACTGCCCCCTGTGTATGTATGTCCTAATCTCTTTTTATATGGATACTAGCTATATTAGGACCTACTTTCATAACCTCATTTTCACTTAATTAACTTTTTAAAGACTCTAACTCCAAAAAAAATTCACGTTCTGAGGTACTGGGTTTATTCAACATTATGAACTTATAGGGGGACACAGTTCAGCCCAAAAAGAGGAAAATGGGGCAAAGGGAAAATCCTTCTTCTCCATCTTCTTTCCTGTTCTCTCTCAAAGGCCAAGGTGAGTGAGAGCAACATTGGATCATGGGATCTTGGTTGCCCTGCAACTCAAGAGATATCTGGCTTCAACATTAGCAGTGAGCAACAGCAGAGCTGAGAACAGTGGTATAGAACTGAGTCACACTGAGTCAGGCTACATTTCCCAGGCTAATTTGCAAACCAGAATTCCAGATATAATTTTTATTCACTCAAACTTTCCACTCATGAACTTCTTAAATGTATTTTGAAAAACTATGCACATCCTCATACATGTTTTTTAAATTTAACTTTTTATTTTGAGGTAATTAGAGAGTGACATGCAGTTGTAAGAAATAATACAGACAGAACCTTTTACCCTTTAATCCAGTTTCCCTGATGGTAACATCTTATAACACTTCAGTACAGTATTGCAATCAGGATATTGACATTTGTGTCAATGTCAATATTACAGTCAAGACAGTATTTTTGTCACTCCAAGTATCCCTTATCTTGCCCTTTTATGGTCGGTTCACCTCCTTCCCACCCCCATCACTTCCTTAACCACTGGCAACTATGAATTTTTTCTCTATTTCTGTACTTTTGTCATTTCAAGCTTCTTAATACAAAATGTTATACAAATGGATTGTGCTTTTTTTTTCTTTTCAATAAAGTTTATTTTATTTATTTATTTTTTTTTTTGAGATAGAGTCTCACTCTGTCACCCAGGCTGGAGTGCAGTGGCACCATCTCAGCTCACTGCAACCTCCACCTCCAAGGTTCGAGTGATGTTCATGAGTCAGCCTCCCGAGTAGCTGGGATTACAAGCATGTGCCGTCTTGCTTAGCTAATTTTTGTATTTTTAGTAGAGACGGGTTTCACCATGTTGGCCAGCTGGTCTCGAACTCCTGACCTCAATGATCTGCCTGCCTCGGCCTCCCAAAGTGCTGGGATTACAGGCGTGAGCCACCACGCCCAGCCTGGATTATGCTTTTGATGTCAAGCCTACGAATTCTTTGCCTGGCCCTACATCTCAAAGATTTTCTCCTATTTTTCTAAAATTTTAATAGTTTTACACTTCACATTTACTCTGTAATCCATCTTTTTTGTTTGTTTATCTATTTTTAGAGATGGGGTCTTGCTCTGTTGCTCAGGCTGGAGTGAAGTGACGTGATCACAGCTCACTGCAGTATGTAACCTTTTGGGACTGGCATTTTTCACTCAGTATAACTCTCTGGAGATTCATCCAGGTTGTTGTGTGTATCAGTCATTCTTTTTTATTGCTGAGTATTATTTCATGGTATAAGTGTACAACAGTTGGTTTAACCATTTACCTGTTAAAGGATATCTGGGTTATCTTTGGCTACAATGAGTAGGCAGTTAGACAAACATTTGCATACAAGGTTTTGTGTGAAGGCATTGTCTGTGCTTGTGTATTTGTGTATGCAAGTTTTCATTTCTTGGGGCTAAATACCCAGGAGTACAGTTGCTGGGCAGGATGGTAGTAGTATGCTTAGTTGTTGGATTTTTGTTGTTGTTGTTGGTTTTGTTTTGTTTTTAAGAAACTGCCAAATCATCTTCCAGAGTGGCTGTACCATTTTATATTCCCATCAGAAATTATGAGAGATCCAGTATCTCTTCTTCCTTGCCAGCATTTAGCATTGTCGCTTTTTTTTTTTTTTTTTTTTTGAGAAAGAGTTTCACTCTTGTTGCCCAGGCTAGGTACAATGGTGTGATCTCTGCTCACCGCAACCTCTGTCTCCCGGGTTCAAGTGATTCTCCTGCCTCAGTCTCCCGAGTAGCTGGGACTACAAGCATGTGCCACCACACCTGGCTACTTTTGTATTTTCAGTAGAGACAGGGTTTCTTCATGTTGGCCAGGCTGGTCTCAAACTCCCGACCTCAGGTCATCTGCCCACCTTGGCCTCACAAAGTGCTGGGATTACAGGCGTGAGCCACCACACCCAGCCCATTGTCACTATTTTTATTTTAGCCATCCTGATAGGTGTGGAGCGATTATCTCATTGTGGTTTTAATTTGCATTTCCCTAATGGCTAATGATGTTGAACGACTTTTCATGTGCTAATTTGCCATTTTTATATCCTCCTTAGTGAAATATTACCTTAAGTCTTTTGCCTATTTTCTAATTGGATTTTTAATGTGTTTTCTTTGTTGAGTTTTGAGAGTTCTTTATATACTCTAGATACTAGTCCTTTGTTCAATGCATAGTTTGCAAATATTTTCTCCTACTGTGTAGCTCATTTTTTCATCCACTTACCAGATCTTCACAAAGCAACAGTTTTACATTTTGATGAAATCCAATTTATCAGTTTTTCCTTTCATAGATCATGCTCTCAATGTCAAGCCTAAGAATTCTTCGCCTAGACCTATAGCTCAAATATTTTCTATTTTTCTAAAATTTAAGAGTTTTATGCTTTACATTTACTCCATAATCCATTTTGTTTATTTATTTTAATTAATTGTATCTGGTAAAGGTTAAGGTATTGCATTTCTCTGACATTTTTTTTTTTTTGAAACAGAGTCTTGCTCAGTCACCCAGGCTAGAGTACAGTGGTGTGTCACAGCTTATGACAGCCTCGAACTCCTGGGCTCAAGCAATCCTTCTGCCTCAGCATCCCAAGTAGCTGGGACTACAGGCAGGAGCCACCACACCAACATTATTTTTCATTTTTGTGTATAGACAGGGTCTTGCTATCTTACCCAGGCTGGTCTTGAACTCCTGGACTCAAGCAATCCAATCCAGTTGGAATTAAATTTTGCATAAGGCATGAGACTTAGGTCAAGTTTCATTTTTATTTTATTGTCTTGCCTATGGATGCCCAATTGTTCCATTTCACCATTGTTCAATTCACTATTTGTGAAAAAGGCTATTTTTCTTCCACTGACTTCCTTTTGCACCTCTTTCAAAAATCATTTGGGCAGATTGTGTGGGTCTTTTTCTACGTTCTCTATTTTGTTCCACTCATTTGTGTGTCCATTCCTCTGCTAGTAACACACAGTCTTGATTACTGTAGCTATAAAACAATACTTGAAATAGGGCAGACTGATTTTCACTCACTTTATTCTTCTTTTTCAAGAATGTTTTAGGCGTCGGCGTCGCTCCCGCCCTGGAGCTCTAGGCCCGCTTTTCCCCGCTTGAGTCTGGCGTCGGGGTCATTGTGTCTTGACAACCGCTCCGGTACCCCTTTCCGAGGCAGCAGGTGCGGCCGCTTTAGCCTTGAGCGGGCTCCGCGTCTGCCTGCTGGTCTCTGCTAGTGCCGACCCTTCTGTTCGCGGACCCCACGCCAAGCAGCGACCCTGAGCCGACAGGCGGAGCACCCGGCAATGGCGGCCTCCACGGCCTCGCAACGGCCCCTCAAGGGGATCCTGAAGGACAACACCTCTACGACTTCCTCTATGGTGGCGTCGGCCGAACATCCCCGTGGGAGTGTCCACGAGCAGCTGAGCAAAAAATCCCAGAAGTGGGATGAAATGAACATCCTGGCGACATATCGTCCAGCAGACAAAGACTATGGTTTAATGAAAATAGATGAACCAAGCACTCCTTACCATAGTACGATGGGTGATGATGAAGATGCATGTAGTGATACAGAAACCACTGAAGCTATGGCAACAGATAGCTTGCTAAGAACTTAGCTGCTGCTGAAGGCTTGGAGCCAAAGTATCAGGTTCAGGAACAAGAAAGCAGTGGAGAGGAGGATAGTGACCTCTCACCTGAAGAACGAGAAAAAAAGCGACAATTTGAAATGAGAAGGACGCTTCACTACAATGAAGGACTCAATATCAAACTAGCTAGACAATTAATTTCAAAAGACCTACACGATGATGACAAAGTTGAAGAAATGTTAGAGACTGCACATGGAGAAAGCATGAATACGGAAGAATCAAATCAAGGATCTACTGCAAGTGACCAACAGCAAAATAAATCACGAAGTTCATAGAAGGGATTTGTTCAACACTCTTATTGTTTGTTAGATATGAACCCCGTTGCTATAATACATTGCTTCTCGTTCTCCACAAGTCATGACTTAAGTACCAAAGTGCATACCAGTTATTATATATTGCCAAGAATTAAATGAAAACCTTAAAGACTGATTAGACTGAAAATGCCTAATTGATATATATATTCTTGTGCCTAGTACTTTACCACAAATACGGTGTAATATCATCAGTCCAAAACTGTATTACTTTTGTAAAAATACTGGTTAATTTGTATATTATATAGCTTTTCATGCTTTAGAGGTTAAACAATATCTTTGGGGGGGGGGAACTAATTTATTTTCATCACTCTAAATGTGGTGATAGCTCTTATAAAGTTTGTTGACTTTTTTTTTTAACCAAAAGCCAATTGAACAACAGGATATATATGCTGATAAATATTCAGGCTGAATAGTATTTTAACACTTGTCTTCAACTTGATTTGTCTGTTTAATTGAAAAGGATTGTGACCTGGCACGGTGGCTCACGCCTGTAATCCCAGCACTTTGGGAGGCCGAGGCAGGTGGATCACGAGGTCAGGAGATCGAGACCATCCTGACTACCACGGTGAAACCCCGTCTCTACTAAAAAAAATACAAAAAACTAGCCAGGCATGGTGGCGGGCGCCTGTAGTCCCAGCTACTCGGGAGGCTGAGGAGGGAGAATGGCGTGAACCCGGGAGGCGGAGCTTGCAGTGAGCCGAGATTGTGCCACTGCACTCCAGCCTGGGCGACAGAGCGAGACTCCGTCTCAAAAAAAAAAAAAGAAAGAAAGAAAAGGATTGTAAGAGTTACTGTTACATTTTCTGGCCTACTACCTTTAAAATTCCTGTTGCATTTCTTTGTATTTACAAGGAAAAGACTGAACTTTTTCTCATCAAAACTAGCTTTTTTCTCACAGGTTAAACTTGCACCAATGTCTGCTCTTTTTTTTTAATGTTTTTGGTACTCTGGGCAGACTTCAGTTTTTTAAAAAATAAAGATTCTAATGCAGCTATCTTGGCATTCCCTTTAAATACCTGTCTTAACCTCCTACTTTTATTTCCTACTCCTTTCCACACACATGCACACAATCCTTTACCTTTTAAAGAATCATTAAGACTGTCACACATTAGGAACTCTTTCGCTCACTCTTCTGTCATTTGCTGCAATATTGAAATTCTTATTTTGACCATCAATGCCTATTAATTCTTCTAATACATGAAGAAAATGGTTGAGTAGCAGCAGTACTATAGGTGGGAAATACAGTTTAACTGCTGAATTTTTATACCTCTCTGATTTATAGCTTGCTAATTAAATTGCTATTATTAGTTTGTTTGGCTTAATTAGACTTAAGAAAACAACAGGTTTTTTTTTTTTTTTTTTTTTGCATGAGGAGAGAATTGTATGTAACCAGTGATATGATTATTCCTGAATGTACAGACAGAAGTAATCATGGACATTGTTTAATTTAAAAACTTTAGTCCCTGCTTTAAGGGAATATGATAATGTATACTATGACAAATGTACTTTATTCTTCTAACACAGTAAGAATTACTTGGAACTTTTTCCTGAAACTAAGTGCAGGAAAGCCCTGTGTGTCTTGGTTTAGTGATGGTTTCATTTCTAGCCATACAACTGATGGATTGTATACAATTTTTGTTAGTGCCAAAATAATCTGTTATATGAACAGACTTCTAAAATAATTTCTGTATATTATATATGTAAGTAGGCTTTTATTGAACAGCTTATTTTCCACTTGCAAGTTTATGGAAATATCAGTATGTCAAAATAAAAAGTGGGAGAATTCTTTGCTGTTAGAAGAATGTGCTTATTATTTTGATTTCTTAAATGGTACATAATCAAAGTACTGCTGAACTATAGGTGCAGTATTCTACTAAACATTTCAGCTAGTAATACCACTGATTTAGAAACAAAACTGTTTATTTTTGCTTTCTGAATTTAGAATGCTGGGATTATCTGTTTAAATATGTTTTAGGGAATATAGAGATTAAATCTGTACATACTTGTGCACATATATTCATGCACCCTCTGATTTTGGTTTTCTCGTTTTTGAGTTCTTAGAAAGTATCCACATACTCTTCTTTTAGTAGAAGTAGCTGTTTTAGAGAGAAGAAAAGGATGAGACTTTAAATAGTTGATTCTTTTTGTGTTTTCTACAAACTTTTTTGAATTTTAAATCACAAGCAAACTAATTTTCTGGTTTTTAGAAAGTAGATGATGATTTCAGAGGAGTAAGACATGCCAAACAGCGTGCTCGGTAGGATTTTAGGTAGTCAAATGCAGCTGAGAAAAAGTATTTTCAAGTCATAAGTTGCTAATTGATATGCTATGAACTAGTCAAAATAGGAACCATATGATTCATGTTAGATTTTCCTCTAGAGATGGATCTGAATGTTCAGTTCTAGCCAAGGTAGATTTTACTTTCAACTTTTTAATCAATATCACTTTCTGTGCTTAATCTCTTTGGTGTTACCTTGTCCATTTTCATTTGTCTAAAATTCTGCAGGGATGACTACAATTTGGCATAATGGTATAAATGAATTGTTAAGGGTAACTTTAAGTTGAAGATTAAAGCAAGATGCCATTTTCCCCATGTCTTTCATTTTGTTTACATTTTTTCCCTTTAAGTTAGTATACACTACACATACTACAATAAAATATAATAATATGAAAAAAGAATATTTTAGATATTCTAGTCCCTTTGCCTTTCCTTGTAAATTTTAGAGTAATCCTACCTATAATTAACAAATCTTGCAAAGATTTTGATTGGAATTGTGTTAAACTTGTATATTGGTTTGGGGAGAATTGACATATTTACTATATTGAATCTTCCAATCCATGAACAGTATTTCTCTCCACATAGATAGAGACTGAATAGATCTTCTTTGATATCGTTCACCAGCATTACATAGTTTTTAGCTTGCAAGTCTTGCATGTTTTGTTAGATTTACACATAACTGTTTCATGTATTTGAGTAATTGTAAATAATACTCAATTTACCGCGCCAGGCGCGGTGGCTCACGCCTGTAATCCCAGCACTTTGGGAGGCCAAGGTGGGCGGATCACAAGGTCAGGAGATCGAGACCATCCTGGCTAACACGGTGAAACCCCGTCTCTACTAAAAATACAAAAAATTAGCCGGGCATGGTGGTAGGCGTCTGTAGTCCCAGCTACTCCGGAGGCTGAGGCAGGAGAATGGCGTGAACCCGGGAGGCGGAGCTTGTGGTGAGCCGAGATCGTGCCACTGCACTCCAGCCTGGGCGACAGAGCGAGACTCCGTCTCAAAAAAAAAAAAAAAAAAAAAAAATATATATATATATATATATGTATCACTTGTTCATTGTATGTAGAAATACAATTGATACTGGTTTATCCTGTATTCTGTTAATTTGCTGAAATCACATATCTAGAAGTTTTTCTGTAGCTTCCTTGTGATTTTCTACATAGACAATCATGTCACTTACAAATGGGAGCTGTTTATTTCTTACTTCACAATCTGTATGCCTTTAATCTCCTTTTTCATGCCTATTGCACTGTCTAGAACTTCCAACACTGTGAATAAGAGTGGTGAGAGTGGACATTCTTGCCTTGTTCCTGATTTTAGGTAGAAACTATTCAGTCTTTCAGAATCAAGTATGTTCACCATAGGATTTTTGTAGACGATCTTTATCAAGTAAAGAAAGATCTACTCTACTCCTATATTTCTGAGATTAAAAAAAAATAATGAATGGGTGTTAAAGTGGGTTAAATACTTTTTCTTCATCAATTGATATGAACAAGTAAATTTTCCTCTTCAGCCTATAATATGATGGATTACATTAATTAATTGTGAATATCCAACCAGCTTTGCATCCCTGGGATAACTCTCACGTGGTCATTGTACATAATTCTTTTTATATGTTGGTAAATTCCACTTGCTAATATTTTGTTAAAGATTGCTGCATCATGAGGAATATTAGTCTACAGTTTTCTTTTCTTCCCATTGTCATTGTTTGGTTTTGGTATTGAGGTAATTCTAGCTTTATAAAATAAACTGGGAAATGCTTCCTCTGCTTCTATTTTCTGGAAGAGATTAATTGGTGTTAATTCTTCTTTAAATCTTTGGTAGAATTCTTCATTGAAACTATTTGTTCCTAAATATTTCCTTTTGTGAGTTTTTAAATTATGAATTCAATTTCCTCAATAGGTGTAGACATTTTTGAATTATTTTATATTTAGTGAGTTGTGGCACTTTATATTTTTTGAGAAAATGATCCATTTAATTTAAGTGTCAAATTTATGTGTGTAGAATTGTTCATAGTATTCTTTTGTTATCCTTTTGATGTCTGTAGAATCTTTGATGATATCCCATTTCATTTCTGATGTTGGTAGCTTCTATCTTCTGTCGTCTTTTTTTCTGAGTCTTGCTAGTGGTTTGCCAATTTTATTAATCTTTCAAAGAACCAGCTCTTTGCTTCATTGATTTTTTTTTTGCTTTTGTTTTTCTGTTTTCAGTTTCATTGTTCTGCTTGCTTTTTATTTTGTTATTCTTTTACTAGATTCTTGAGGTGAGAGTTTAGATTATTGGTTTGAGACTTTTCCTCTTTTCCAATGTATGCAGTTAGTGCTTTAAATTTACTTCTCAAATGCAAATCAAAACCACAATGAAATGCCATCTCACGCCAGTCAGAATGGCGATTATTAAAACTCAAGAAACAACAGATGCTGACAAGGTTGCGGAGAAATAGAAATGCTTTTACATTGTTGATGGAATGTAAATTAGTTCAACCATTGTGGAAGACAGTGTGGCAATTCCTCAAAGATCTAGAACCAGAAATACCATTTGACCCAGCAATCCCATTACTGAGTATATACCCAAAGGAATACAAATCATTCTGTTATAAAGATACATGCACTTGTATGTTCATTGCAGTACTATTCACAATAGCAAAGACATGGAATCAACCCAACTGCCCATCAATGACAGACTGGATAAGGAAAATGTACATATGCACCATGGAATACTATACAGCCATAAAAAGGAATGAGATCCTGTTATTTGCAGAGACATGGATGAAGCTGGAAGCCATTATCCTCATCAAACTAATGCAGGAACAGAAAACCAAACACCACATGTTCTCACTTATCAGTGGGAGCTGAACAATGAGAACACAAGGACACAGGGAGGGGAAAAACACACACTGGGGTCTGTCTGGGGTGAGGTTGGAGGGAGGGAGAGCATCAGGAAAAATAGCTAATGCATGCTTGTCTTAATACCTAGGTGATGGGTTGATATGTGCAGCAAACCACCATGGCACATGTTTACCTATGTAACAAACCTGCACATCCTGCACATGTATCCTGGAACTTAAATTTACCTCTTATAACTACTATAACTGTATCTCACAAATTCTGATATGGCATATTTTCATTTTTGTTTAGTTGTGTTTATTGTGTGTATTTTTAAAAAATTTCCTTGAGACTTCCTCCTTGACCCATGTATTTCTAAGTGTGTTGTTTTGTCTCCAAATGTTTAGATATTTTCCTGTTGTTGATTTCTGGTTTGGTTCCATTGTGGTAGGAGAACACTTTCTTTATGATTTTATTTAAAAAATTTTTTGGTCTTTTGTTATCTTAGATATGGTCTATCTTGGCATATATTCTGTGGGCACTTAAAAAAATGTTATTCTGGCTGGGTGCAGTGGCTCATGCCTGCAATCCCAGCACTTTGGGAGGCTGAGGTGGGTGGATCACCTGAGGTCAGGAGTTTGAGACCAGCCTGATCAACATGGTGAAACCTCATCTATACAAAAAATAAATAAATAAATAAATAAATAAATAAATAAATAAATAAATAATTAGCCAGGCATGGTGGTGTGTGCCTGTAATCTCAGCTACTCAGGAGGCTGAGGCAGGAGAATTGCTTGAACCTGGGAGGCAGAGGTTGCAATGAGCCGAGATTCTGCCATTGCACTCCAGTGTGGGCAATAAGAGTGAAACTCCATCTCAAAAAAAAAAAAAAAAAAAAGTGTATTCTGCCATGGAATACTATGCAGCCATAAAAATAATGAGATCACGTCTTTTGCAGGGACATGGATGGAGCTGGAGGCCATTATCCTTAGCAAACTATTGCAGGTACAGAAAACCAAATACTGCATGTTCTCATAAGTGGGGGCTAAATGATGGACACATGGACACAGAGAGGAAAAACACATACTGGGGCCTATTGGAGGGTGGAGGTTGGGAGGAGCCAGAGGGTCAGGAAAAATAGCTAATGGGTACTAGACTTAATTCCTGGATGATGAAATAATCTGCACAACAAACCTCCATGACACTGTTTACCTATGTAACAGACCTGCACATGTACCCCTGAACTTAAAATAAAAGGAAAAAAAAGAAAAAAGAAAAAAGAAAATCTTGTGGAATCTACTAAAAGCAACGAAAAAGAAAATAATGTATCTTCTGTTGTTGGGTGGTGTGTTCTATAAATGTTGATTAGATCTTATGGTTTGATGTTGTTTATTCTTCTATGTTTTTTCTCAATTTTTGTCTATTTGTTTAATCAATTATTGAGAGAAAACTACTGAAGTCTTCAACTATCATTGTTGACTTGCCTATTTTCTTTTCAGTTCTATCAGTTTTTGCTTTACATAATTTGCAGCCCTGTTGTTTGGTGCATACATATTTAAGATTGCTATGTCTTTTTGGTAGATTTACCCTTTTATTATTACATAGTGTTCCTATCCATTTCTAGTAATTTTCTTTGTTCTAAGTTTATTTGATATTAATATAGCCTCCCTTTATTATTTTTTGCCTGATATATGTTTTTCTATCCTTTAACTTATAAACCGCCTATATCACTATATTTGAAGTGAGTTTATCATAAACAGCAAATAATTGAGTCTTTTTTTTTTTTTTTGAGACGGAGTCTCGCTCTGTTGCCCAGGCTGGAGTGCAGCGGTGTGAAGTGGTGTGATCTCAGCTCACTGCAACCTCCACCTCCCGGGTTCAAGAGATTCTCCTGCTTCAGCCTCCCGAGTAGCTGGGGCTACAGGCTTGTGCCACCACAGCTGGCTAATTTTTGTACCTTTAGTAAAGATGGAGTTTCACCATGTTAGCCAGGATGGTCATCTCCTGACCTTGTGATCCACCTGCCTTGGCCTCCCAAAGTGTTGGGATTACAGGCGTGAGCCACCGCACCCGACAGAGTCATATTTTTAAATCTATTCTGCCAAGCTCTGTCTCTTAAAATTGATGTATTTAGGCGATTTATATTTCCTATAATATTGTTATGTCCAGGCTTAAGTCTGACATTTTATTTTTTGTTTTCTGTTTGTTCTCTCTGTTTTTCATTTCTTTGTTTTCTTTTTCATTGCTTCCTAAATAATTTTAAAATTCCATTTTAATTTATCTATAGCTGTGTGTGTGTATGTGTGTGTACCTCTTTGGATAGCTCTTTTAGTGGTTGTTCTAGGTATTACATTATATTTATGTAACTTATTTATTGTCATTAATTACCAGTCTGAGTGATGTGTAGAAATTTCTTCTCTCTTTGTTTACCCTCCCTCATTTATAATTGCCTGTAATATTTTCTCTATATACATTTATAACCATATGATACAGTATTATACGTTTTTCTTCAATCCTATAATTTAAATAACTCAAGAGAAGAAGTAAAGTCCATTTTTTAACCCATATTTTTTCTTGCCATGTTCTTTCTTCCTTCCTGATGTTCCAACTGTCCTCAATTTAACTTTTTGTTTTTTTAGGGTAGACCTGTTAGTGACAAATTCTGTTAGTTTTCCCTCATCTCTGTATGTCTTAATTTCCCTGGATATTTTTGCTGATATAGTGTTCTAAGTTGATATTTTTTTTTCCTTTCAGCACTGGAAAAAGGTGGTGACCTCCTTCGGGCTTACACAGTTTCTGATGAAAATTTTGCTCTGTCATTTTTTCCACCTGTTAGATGTCATTTATCTCACTGCTTTCAAGATTCTTTTTGTCTTTAATTTTTAGTTAATTACTATGATTTTGGTGTGGCTTTCTTTGGGTTTGTCCTATTTGGGGTTCACTCACCTTCTTAAATCACTAGGTTTATGTCTTCTGCCAAATTTGGGAAGTTTTCAACCATATTTATTTGATAATTTTTTTCAGCTTCACTCTCTTTTTCCTCTCATTTTGGGACTCTGAGTACATGAACATTAAATCTTTTGTTATAGCCCCATGGGTCCCTGAGGCTTTGTCCATTTTTTCCAGTGTATTTTCTTTCTTTCTTTTGTTCAGATTGAGTGATTGCTATTGCTGTGTCTTCAAGGTAGCTAATTCTTTCCTCTGTTCTCTCCTTCTGCTGCTGAGCTTATTTACTGTGCTTTTTATTTTGGCTATTGCACTTTTCAGTTCTAAAATTTCCACGTTTTCTTCCGTATATATCCTATTTTTATGCTGAAACATCCTATTTTTTTCTTTTCTGCTCTTTTCTTCTTCTTTCTTTTTTTAAACCACTGAACTGGACATCCTATTTTTTTCATTCTTTTAAGTGTTAATTGCTCATCAAAGCATTTTAATAATGGTGGCTTTAAAATCTTCATCAGGCTTTTCTTTCCGTTTTGGCATCTATTTTATTGTCTTTTAAAAATTCAATTTGAGATATTCCTGGTTCCTGATATGACAAATAATTTCCAGTTGAAACTTGGACATTTCAGGCATTATGTTATAAGGCTATCGGTCTTATTTAAACTGTTTTAGCTGGCTTCTTTTAACACCTCTCCAGCAGGTAGGCAGGTGAGCTTCATGACGCCAGGTAGGGGTAGGAGTCCAGGCTTCTCACTCTGCCTTCATTGACACCTCAGATAGGTCCCCATTATTATGAGTGGGGACAGAAATTCTGGCTCCCTATTAGGTGCCCACTAATACCTCCCTGGTTGGTTGGGAGAGGAGTGCCACTTACTATCCCTCACATGACCTTTATTGACACCAAGATGGGACAGTGGAGTGGAGGAGTGAGTGGTAGGTATCAGGGAGTGGTTGCTGGATTAACTCTGGGTGGTGATGAAAATCCTGACTCTCCATTAGGCATTGTCTGACATCACCCTAGAGGAGAGGGGAAGAGATGCTTCATTACTGTTGGGTGAGGAATGGAAGTCTAGGTTTCCATTGACATTTCAGGGGCTTGGGGAAAGGAGTACATTTTCACCAAGAGGGCATGACCATCCTGACTCCCTATTCACTTTCTCTGACACCATCCTGGTGTGTGGGCATGTGTGTGTTGAAGTGTTGGGTTCCTTATGACAGCCTGGTGAGGGTGAAAGTCTAGGCTCCTCATTTGACCTTAGCTGGTGGGGGTGGAGTCGCAGTTTTTTCTGTGGTGTTTGGCTGGCCCCATTACCCAAGATGGAGTGTAGTGGTGCGATCATAGCTCACTGTAACCTCGAACTCCTGGGCTCAAGTGATCCTCCTGCCTCAGCCTTCAGAGTATCTAGGACTATGACACATCGAACTATGCCTGACTAATTTTATTATTATTATTCATAGAGACAGGGTCTCATTATGTTGCCCAGGGCTGGTCTTGAACTCCTGGCCTCAAGCGATCCTCCTGCCTGGCCTCCTTCCCAAAATTACTTTAAATGATATAATAGCTGACAGCTTGAATAGGTCCTCTTTATTTTGTTGGAGGCAGAGTGTTAGAAGTGACCTAACAAAAAGGATTTGTTTCTTGTCACTAGACTCATTCACTGTGTCAATGAGTGTGTCAGTGGTTTGTGGGAAGCAAACTTAAATGAAAATGTATATTTTTAATTAAATGTTATGAGATGCTTTTTTTTAACTATTGGCTCTTGTGAATTTCAGAAAAATATTGCAAGTCATTTGACTTAGCTACTTAGCTTGCACTCTATGTAAAAATTTTAGAATTTTACCTCTTTGAAAAACTCCTAATATCAATAGTGATATTGTTGTTTTGCAGCCTCAAATGATTTTGTTACTTTGGACTAATTTTCACTGAGCTAGTTAATAAGTGACTTTTTATTGTCTAAAAAATTCTTAAGTGTATCATAGAGAGAAAGATTATTGGGTCACTAAGTGGCTTTCTATATATATACCTTTGTCCATATTTAATTTTTGCAAAACTCAAATTAAGGTGGTAAACTTAGTGTGGATATACATTCATGTATTGTATTGATAAGATTAACTACATTTTAAAACTAAAGTGGAAAGTTTTAAACAAAATTGTCATTCAACTATGTATGTATTTCTGTAAAACACACACGTAATGATGAATTCGAATTAATAAGCAAAAAAGGAGAGGATTTGTAATTTAAAATTGATCTTGGAATATACACTCTACACTTAAAGACAGAGAAAAAACTTTTTCTTTCCCTTTAGCATAATCTGCCCAGCTAGCGGTGGTTTCTTATCAGAATGCTCTCACTTAATACCTTGATAACTTTTAGTGCTTTGTGCTGATAGCATCAAGTTTTTAAATTATTTTAAAAACAAACAACAACAAAAAACCATTTGCTTCTGAAACACCTAAAGTTTCTTATAATTGTTACCTTCTTTATGTTTATTTTCAAATGTTTTATTGTCACTCTGGTTATTGAGATATCAAAGTTATAACAATTGCTCACTCTCAGGTACCTATGCACTTAAGTGACCAGTTTCTCTGAAAATTCTTTTTTGTTGTTGCCTTCTTCCAACCTCATACCCTGAATTCAGAATACTAACACTGTCAAGCTATTTTTCACGCCCCCAAATCTTTGTTTTTTCTCACTAGACAGCCACTACCCATTTGGCCACTAGGTGGCGCAAAAGGCTTAATTTTTCACCTTCCTCCGCCTACTGTTGAAGGAAGCTAAAAGTAATTAGATGTGTTTGGCATGATTTTTATATTTTAAATTAACGCTGTACTATCAAAAGAACTACCTGTGTCTCAAACCCACAATGTGGTAAAAGCTGACAAATAAAAAACAGTAGCTCAATTTTCTAGATTAATTTTGTCCAGGTTAAAAATATTATTGATATATGTTTTAGTGACCACATAGGTTTCAGTAAGGGTAAAAGGATGCTCTTGTTCGTACTCCAAGTCTGGCATGGTGACTGTCAATACATTCATTTTGAAGAAGATTTTGCTTCTGGGTTTAGCCCTAAAACAGGCCAAATAGAGACGATAAAATGAGTGGAACTGAATTAGAGCATTTCTGAAAAGTTTTATTTGGTTAATTCTGCCCCTTAAGGTCAGAAATTGTGTAGGAAAAGTGTTTCAAAATTATAAATAAGGCAAAATTGTACGTGCTTGATTATTTTATATCACACTTGAACCTTTGCTCATAATTCTGCCTTATCAAAACCAGAGTGTTTCAGGGATTGTAATTTGCCTAAGACGAACCCGGCCAGCCCTGTGCGATTAGAGGTTAATCAGCAGAGAGCTGATAAGGGATGCTGGCTTTCTCTTTTTCTCCGGTAAAGAAGATAACACCAAGGTTATGATTTTATTGCCCTCTAGCACGTTAGCCATTTTGAATCTCTAGCCTAGAAATTATTTCCTCACAGAGAGATACAGCTCTGTTTTTCAAATACTCTTTGGATCAAGGCTCTTGTATTCTTGCTGGTTCCCTCTTTGAGTTTGATAAAACTTTGAAAAGTCTACCAAAGAAATTTCTCTCAGAACTAGACTTTAGAGAGGAAATGCTGGAACTACGGATGAGAGGCACATGTATGTACAGGGTCAGACCACGCAGAGAGCAGGTCTGATGAGCCACACCACTGCTGCTGCCCCATGGCTTCTAGACGCTGCTGTTGGTTCTGTTGTTAGGACCTGGAGGTTGCTGCAGCCACCACTGAAGACACCTCCTAAACCACTTCTGTTTCAGGAACTTCACTTAAAAAAAAAAAAAAAAAAAGGAAAAAACCCACCGCTTCCCCAAAAGACAGTTGCTTCTTCTGTCACCTTTGCCAGAGAAATAAATACAGTAAAAGGTGCTCTGCAACCCCCACACCCTGGTTCCTCCTGTGGCCCCTTTGTAACTGAAGTCTTAGGTGGATGAATTTAATTGGTGGAACTTAGGTGCTCTAGCTTCAAAGAAGGCTAGGGGAAGTGAGCTTTCTGGTTTCCACTTTAGGGAGGCAGGACTCAAAAGGTAGGGGAAATTTCACAGTACTCTAAAGGTGTTCAAATCCCATGGGCAGCCAGTAAACATCACAGGTGTGAGGTGCTGGGTGGAGTGGCTGCCGTGAATATGTGTTTTGGTTCATGGACTACATCAGTGGCTCTTAAAGTCCAGTAATTCACAGTTTCATGAGAGATAATAAAATGATTATTTTTGTTTTAAGCCATTAAGTTTGGAGTTGGTGTGCTGCCCAGCAATAGATAATGGAAACATACAGTATGTATTTCTGCAAGTCTGGCTTCTTCACTTAATATTGTTTCTATGAGATTCGTCCATGTTGTTACATTTTCAGTAGTTGATGAAGTTTCATTGTTTACATAGTACTGTGTTGCACGAATAGACTACGTTTTGTTTATCCATTTACTGTTGAAGAACCATTTTGTTAAACAATTTGAGAGTAATCTGTGGAAATTATGCCACTTGACCCCTAAATATTTTGTCATGTATAATTTAAGAATAAGGACATTTCTCCTGCAAAACCCTAATACTGTCATCACCCCCAAGATACTTAAAATTGATACCATATTATCAAACACACAATCCATATTAAAAAATCCCCCATTGTCCCAGTAACACCTTATAGTAAATGTCTGTTATTTTAAGCGGGTGTCATTCATTACATGGCAATAGGTAACTAATACGGTGAGTCTGCTTCTTCCAGCAAGGACCCTCAGGGGGTGCGGTGATTCATAGTTCTCACTCAGACTTCTCTGTGTCTGCTCATATGTCCCTATTTCATATCTCAGGGTCCGGTCTATCCCAACCAGGGGTCTTGCCTTATCACAACAGCTGCTGTTGGATGATGCAACAAACATTTCTACAACTTCATAACCTTTATCATAAGCCCCCGGGCTTGACCCTCAGCCATATCTGTGCTGGGTTGCAGGAGAAAAGATAGCCTTTAAAACTGCTATAGAGGCATTTACAGTTTTTCATTCATGTCTTGAGTTTGGATTAAAGGCTTTTAATTTGTCTTTTTTCCTTTGTATGCTCTTGAGGGCAGTCTGACGCAGCCAGTCTCTGAAGGTTGGCACAAAAGCCTCCATCGAGTCACCCAGCTTTTGCCTGGTACCTATCCTAACCTAAAACCTTGCCACATGTTACCTTGGCGAAAGGCCAGTGCCACACTTCAGTGATGATTTGGCTGTCCTACTTGGTTAGAACCGAGTTCACTTCCTTCCTCAACACTCCTGCCACATTGATCTGGAAGTTTCACCTTGAGCCAAGTGATAGTTAATTTTATGTGTTAACTTGGCTAGGCTATGGTTTCTAGACATTTGAATACCAGTCTAGATATTGCAGTGAAGGTATTTTTTAGATGAGATTTACATTTAAATCAATAGATTTTGGGTAAAGCAGATTACCCTCCATAATGTAAGTGGCCCTTCCAATCAGTTGAAGGTCTTAGGGGCAAAGACTGATGTCCTCCAAGGAAGAGGGAATTCTGCCTCTGGACCACCTTCAGACTCAAGCCGCAACATCAGCTCTTCCCGGGTCTCCAGCCTACCTGCAGATTTCGACCGTGCCAGCTTCCACAGTAGTATGAGCCAATTACTTAAAATAAATCTCTCTCTGCCAACATCCTATTGGTTCTGCTTCTCTGGAGAATCCCGACTCATACAAGCCACTTTCTATAGAAGGCTGTTTCTTCGAGAAATCCACCCTCTTCTATGTCAACAGAGTTTAGAATCTCCATACTTTATCTCTTCATTTTTGAGAACATAAATTCTGTATTACACATACTTATACTATACTATATATGAAACTTTCATAAACATTGCTGGGCAAAGTTGAATATTGCTGAACCAATTTCCGATGCTTCTGAATAAGTTCAATGGAGTTAAAACATTTTTCTTCTTACATGGTATGTCCAGTGCCCCAGAGCCAGCAGAGTTAAGAACTTGGTAAGGAAGACCAAAGATAATCCATATATTCTAGTTTGTTATATAATATAAAACATGTTTATTAGACTCTAAAAGACATAAAAAGAAAATAATACATATGTATCAGTGAGAGAGGTGCAAATTAGGAAGAGAACTAAGGATTATTCTTAATTCCTGCCTTCCTTTCTAAATCCCAATCCTCAATTGAACTCTTTAATTATATTTCCTGTTTATTTTGTTGAATGGAAAAAATGGAAAATTATCTAACATTTGTCATGGAAATATAGGAGAAATTACTCTCAGAGATATGATGTTATTTAAGTCATTGACATATTGTTAACCTCAGATGCAAATGGTGGAATTAATAATATTCCTCAGTTCATGGTACATAGTCACTGTTGGTCTAGTGCTAGTTTGTAGTTGTATTTGTATTTTTTATTTTTTAGAAATACGGTCTTCCTTTGTCACCCAGGCTGGAGTGCAGTGGTGTGATCACAGCTCACAATAAGCTCAAACTCCTGGGCTCAAGCAATCTTCCTGCCTTGGCCTCCCAAGTAGGTAGGACTACAGGTGCATGCCACCATGCCAGCTAATTAAAATGTTTTAAATTTATTTTTGGTAAATGGGGTCTTGTTATGTTGCCCATAGGCTTTAGTGCTATGATAAGCTAGTAATTATAGTGAACATTCTTGTCTTGGATACCCAAGGTTTTTCCGTTATGTATACTAGTGGTTACAGATTTTTTGGATTATAACCTTTGCCAAAATAGGAAAGTTTTGATTCCTGCTTCCTTAACTGTTTTTCAAAAATCACAAATGGATATACTTTACCAAATGTCTTTTATTAATAGACTGAGCAAAGGAAATGACTTCTCTATGAATATGGTAAATTATAGCAACAATATGTTTTATTATATTGAACCACCCTAGTATTCCAAGGATTCCCTATTTGATCTTGATGTATCATTATTAGCATAATCATTATTATTATTGTTATTATTATACATATTTTTAGAGACAGGGCCTTGCTCTGTTGCACAGGCCGAAATGCAGTGGTGCAATCATAGCTTACTGCAGCCTCAAACTCCTGGGCTCAAATGATCTTCCTGCCTCAGCCTCCCTAGTAGCTGAGACTACAGGTGCTCACCACCACACCTGGCTAATTTTTTAATTTTTTGTAGAGACAGGATCTCAGTATGTTGACAATGCTGGTCTTGAACTCCTGGCCTCAGGCGATCCTCCCACCTCGGCCTCCCAGTATTATTATTTGTAATATTGTTGAATTCGGTTCATAAATAATTATTTTTTTCTCCCATCTGTGTTCAAGGTGAAATGGGTCTATTATTTTTTTTCCTTGAGTTTTCCACAACTCAATTTGGAGTCAAGATTACACTCGGCTGATAAAATTAGCTAATCAGGTTTAGTTTTTTTCTATTTTCTGGAAAAAGTATATAATATAGAAGTTTCATGTTCCTTGAATGTTTGATAGAACTCATCTGTGAAACCATCTGGGCATTTTCAAAAATATATTTTTTTATTAGATGCCATTGATAACTTTAAAAATTGCTTTAATACTCATTGGTATAGTCAAGTTTTGTATTTCTTTTTGTGCTAATTTTGATAGATTAAATGTTTCTAGGAATTTGCATATCTCACCTAGGTTTTCAAATTTATTAGCATATACTTGTTCATAACACTCTATGCTTTATATCTGTGTCATATCTGTAGCTGTTCCCCCTTTTTCATTATGTATTTGTTTATTCATTTTTTCTCCCTTTATCCATAATCGGCCTTGTTGTAACTCTGAATATCTTACAAATATTTTTAAGTAAGCAGCTTTTGGAATCAAAAGTATGTTAATTTTCACTACCTAGTTTTTTGTTCTCTATTTCTGTTTCATTGCTTTCTATTCTTATCTTTATAACTCCTTTTCTTCGTATTTCTTTAGGTTTGCTCAACTTCTCTTTTTCCAAATTTTTGAGTAGAATTTTTAGGTCCTTTATTTTAACTTTTCTTGTTCTAATAAATGTATTTGAAATTATAATATTATTTTATATGTATATTTTATGTGTAACATTTTTAACACCTGGTTCTAAAAGAGTTAATTTTCTTTATAACTGCTGTTTATTTATTTGACACAGGGTCCCACTCTATTGCTGAGGCTGGAGTGCAGTGACGCAATCATGCCTCACTGCAGCCTCCATCTTCTGGACTCCAGCGATGCTCCCATCCACGACTGCCTTTTAAATCCATGTTACTGATAAATATATTTGTTCACTTACAATTTTAAGTATATTTTAGTTATCAAGTTCTAATTTTATTACAGTATGGTTGCAGAATATAGTTTCTTTCTTTCTTTCTTTCTTTCTTTTTTTTTTTTTTTTTTAAGACAGTGTCTTACTCTGTTGCCCAGGCTGGAGGGCAGTGGCACAATCTCAGCTCACTGCAACCTCTGCCTCCTGGGTTCAAGCGATCCTCCCATCTAGCCTTCTGACTAGTTGGGATTACAGGTGCACCCCATCCAGCTAAATTTTTTGTAGAGACGGGGTTTTGCCATGTTGCCCAGGCTGGTCTCAAACTCCTGGGCTCTAGGGATCTGCCCACCTTGACCTCCCAAAATGTTGGGATTACAGGCGTGAGCCACTGCTCCTGGCCTAGAATATAGATAGTTTCTAAGATACCGATACTCTGGAATTTATTGGCGTTACCTTTATGGAATGATGCATGTCCTATTTGAGTAAATGTTCTGTGTGGCTTGAACTATTATATATAATTTTTGGTTTTCTGGCAACTTTTAAAAAATGAATTTTATGAATCTTGTACCTCATTTTATTTCCTTCTTTGCTTTCACTATCCTATGGCCCGGAGCCAATTATTTTTTATCTATTTATAGTTGGCTGATAAATATGTGTCCTGTTAAACCGGCTCTCTGAAGAAAAACAATGCTTCTGACTTGTAGCATTGCTGATTTCTATAGTATAAATACTTCCATAGTGGTCAATATCAAGTTACCAATAGTTAACAACTGTCTTCAAAAATCCTGAATACTTTGCAATCTGCTCTTGCTAGCCAGTATAAGACAGCGCACCACTTTTTTTTTTTTTAAGATATTCACGTTGTCCATTAGTTTCCATTAGTTTCACTCCTTGGCTTCACTTACTTTTCTTAACCATATTTTCTCTTTGACCCAGTGTTGTTTTCTTCTTTTAAAAATTGTTTTAAATTATCTCTGTAAGCTGCTACAAACCTTTTATTGGAATGAAGGGCATTAGAACAGTTATTTGGCCAATACAGAAAAATGAAGTCTTCTAATTTTTTTTTTTTTTTTTTTTTTTGAGATGGAATTTCTCTCTTGTCGCCCAGGTGGAGTGCAATGGCGCAATCTTGGCTCACTGCCACCTTTGCCTCCCGGGTTCAAGCGATTCTCCCTGCCTCAGCCTCCCGAGTAGCTGGGATTACAGGCACCACGCCCAGCTAATTTTTGTATTTTAAGTAGAGATGAGGTTTCACCATGTTGGCCAGACTGGTCACGAACTCCTGACCTCAGGTGAACCACCCGCCTTGGCCTCCCAAAGTGCTGGAATTACAGGCATGAGCCACCGCGCCTGGCCGAAGTCTTCTAATTTTAAAAGATCTAATCTTCATTCAGTTCTCAAAGTCTTTGCTGTGCCCTTAAGGCATGTCACACGCATGTGCAGCTCAGGGGTAACCTGGTACTCCTGAGGGTTCAGACTCAGAATTAGGGAATTTCCGCCTGTACTCTCAGTTTGGAGATTCCCCTACACATTCCTGCCTGCAGGGGCCCTTTTTCTTCATTCCTCTGGCCAGAAAGCCGGTATTTCTCTTGTTAACTCAGGGCTTGTGCTACCACGCAGTGCAGCTCTGCACCTGAGGCCTGACGTCAGGGCAGAGCTGGGAGGAAAAAAGGGGAAAACATTGAAAACCCACTCCCCAGGAGGGGCCCCTCTCCCAGTTTTGACCCTCTTCACAATCCACCTGCTTTTGTTTACTTTTTGGAGTCCTTGAGTACTTGCTTTTTGTATACTGCCCAGAATTTCTACTTGTGATCAGTGGGAAAAATGGGCTATTTAAAATCTCAAATAAGTTAAATATCATGGCTAGAAACAACTCCAGGCATTTGTAATTTTAGATTTTTTTCTTTACACTCCAGGGGGATGTGATTGTTTTAGAGTTTTGAATTCGTATGTTTAGCCTGAGATCCTACTAGTATTTCTGTTGAATATGCCTGTTGACTGCCCACTTGTTAGCAAAATGGCATTGAATGTTGGAACTGTAAACTA
The DNA here is from genome assembly GCF_000001405.40 of Homo sapiens. Classification (NCBI taxonomy): domain Eukaryota; kingdom Metazoa; phylum Chordata; class Mammalia; order Primates; family Hominidae; genus Homo; species Homo sapiens. The sequence goes on along the minus strand of NT_167244.2, from coordinate 4,165,681 downwards.
CCTTAGAAATCATTCAGCACCATCTTTTGACAGAAAAGGATATGAGAGTTCACTCCTGTCACTCAGGAAGTGCAAGGCAAAGATAGAAGCAGAATTAAATTTGTTTTAATACAGTTACTCAGCCATCTGGTAACAGTTTCCTAAGTGCCAACGAATGTATGGGGCTATTTATTGCAGATTTTAAGATGATATATGGGGATTGAGGGAATGAGAAGTTTTAGGGAGTGGTAGAGGAAGGGCATATAATAAGACTGAATCCCAGATCCCAGCCTCAGAACTTATTTTGTGACCTTGGTCAAGTGATTTAATCTTTCCAAACCTCTATGTGTCCTATAGAAGTAATAATACTACCTATATAGGGTTGGGTGTTTTTGTTTGTTTGTTTTTTCTTTTTCTTTTCTTTTTTTTTTCTTAAGATAGGGTCTTTCTCTGTCACCCACACTAGAGTGCAGTGGCGCAATCACAGCTCACTGTAGCCTCAAACTCCCAGGCCTAAGCGATCCTCCCACTCAGCCTCCCAGGCAGCTGGGACTACAGGCATGCACCACCGCACCCGACTAATTTTTAAATTTTTTTGTAGAGATGGGGTTCTCACTATGTTGCCCAGGCTGGTCACTAACTCCTGGGCTCAAGCAATCCTCCCGCCTTGACCTCCCAAAGTGCTGGGATTACAGGTGTGAATACAGGGGGTTTTTTGGTTTGAATTTTAAGAGATAAAATTTATAAAACATTTAGCCAATGCCACAAATGTAGCTTCTTTTGGTTATTGTCATTATTCTTTGAAATTCACAAGTGCCCCAAAATATTTAAGCATTTTTCATGTATTGCCCTTTAATATGAATGAATGCATTATGAAAGGAATTCTTTTACATGCGAGTTTGCTGATAGTCTTAGCTAATTCTCATGTGTGTAGGTGTCTTGCCTATCTGTCAGTCTTAGCCTTAAAGGAAAGAGTCCCATCACCTCACTTGCGGCCTCATCATCATGGACCGCATGATGATGCGGAATGAGAATTTTTATTGTTTGTACTACAAAATCATTCAGTACGTGATCACCTGTCATGTATAGGGCTCTTTATATTTCTAGTTTAGTCCCTTTTGTTTTCTCTAGGAAAGATGTTTTAGACCTGGGACAAAAGAAGAAAGAGTGTATGCTGACATCTAGGAGGGAAGCACCCACCTCCCCTAAGCTCCATCTCCCTGAGCACTCATTTCCCAATGACCATACCAGGTTTTGGCCCTAGAGAGTTTATTACAAAATAAGAAAGAGAAGTCTGGGGAAGGTTCACTCATCATAGAATTTTGGCAGTTCATTGCCCAAGATGACTCGATGGTCCACACCGGCAGCTGTAATAGTGACCAGGTAGATGACACCCCCGCTTGAGCCATCCCGGCTCATGGCCAGAGCAATAGCTGCAGAGGGTTTCAAGTTGGAGAGAGGGAGAGAGAGGATGGCTTAGCTTCAAAAATCTTTTTACTCCCCCTCCATCCATATGCCTACTACCACTTTCACCTCAAAACTCATCTTCCAGGAAGGCATATTTAGTGGTGTGCTGGTAAATCAGTTTTTTTACAAAAAGGCTTCCATATGTGGCATCTGCTGATGTCCATGGTGTAAATGCTCCCGCTATGATGAATTGCAAGTTACAAATAGCTAAGCAGTTCACAAATCCTTGACTATTTAACAGTCCGCTCTCATGAGTGGTCCCAAGCCAGCCTCAGCACACCTCAGCACACCACTGGTTCTTTTTTTTTTTTTTTTTTCTCCAGACAGGGTCTCTCTCTGTCACCTAGGCTGCAGCGCAGTGGTGCAATCACCGCTCACTACAGCCTTGATCTCCCCGGCTCAGATGATCTTTCCACCTCAGCCTCCTGAGTAGCTGGGACTACAGGTGTGCACCACTATGCCCAGTTCATTTTTTTTTTACTTTTTTTTATTGTTTTTTGTGGAGACAGGGTTTCACCATCTTGCCTAGGCTGGCCTCAAACTCCTGGGCTCAAGTAATCCTCCTGCCTCAGCCTCCCAAATTGTTGGCATTACAGGTGTGAGCCACTGTGCTTAGCACACCACTGGTTCTCACAGTGACTGTGTATCCTCATTTGATTTACTCAGAACAGCCCTGGTTTATCCGTATTGCCCAAGAGCCCCATTGAGCTTTGCATTTGTCCTGCCCCTTTTCACTCTTAAAAGTGTACCAGGCCCGGCATTAACTTAAATGGCCACCCCTGTATTTCTCTTCCTGTTCCTCATAATCTACTTCCTTCCCATGTTTCAAAGCCCTCCCCAGGTACCCTTCCACTTGGCTGGTTACCGTCTGTGGTGAAGCGCCTGCACTCCTCGGGAGACATGCCTGGCTTATATGCTGCATCCACATAACCATAGATAAAGGTGCTGCCGGAGCCACCAATGGCAAAAGGCTGTCGAGTCAGCATTCCTCCCAGGGTTCCATATACCTGGGAAAGGGATCCTCAGGTTAAAGAATCATCAAGCCCTTCCTTCCCACTGAGACATTAAGTGGTCTCTGCACCCTGCAATGAAGCCCTGGTATCTCATATCCCCAAAGTACTATGCTTTCAGAGGTAGTGTCCTTGGAACTCATTGCTAGAATGACATAGGACTTCCATCTTCCTCTGCAGGAGAGTGGGGAAGCCCAGAGGAGAGAGTGCTTTGGGAGAAACTCACCTGACCTCCTTCACGTTGGTCCCAGCCAGCTACCATGAGATGTGCAGACAAGTCCTCTCGATATTTATAGCTGATATTTCTCACCACATTTGCAGCAGCCAAAACAAGTGGAGGTTCCTCCAGTTCTATCCTGAGGGAAATATTAGGAATAAAGGTTGATAGAATTTTAAGTCTCATTCTCCTATACTGTTACCATCATCCCTGCTAAACGACCCCTGAAAACTGTAACTGCAATAGCTCAAACTGCAGCCTCCCTCCCACATGTACAGGGGAACCAGAGTCCCACACCACCAACTGGTAAGAAGCTTTCAATTGCTCACTCTTTTGCTCAGCCCCACCCACATAACTTTCTTTTGGCTGCAAGGACCCTGCTCTTATGGGGAAAAGCAGATAAGGTTACTTCCATCCCAACGACCTTGATTTCTCGTATGGTAACTGCCTGATATTATGGTGGGTCACAATATCACCTTCTTCCTGATTATTTATATCAGGATAGTGATTTACAGCTTTTAAACTGTGTTCACATATAGAACGTGGTTCTCAAAATAACCGTCTCATGAGGTGCTATATTATCTCCACTTTACAGATGCAGAAACTGACAGATTCAAGTGCCAGCAAGAGCCGAAACAAGACTTTTCCATTTCCCAGTGTCCAGCTCCTGGAACAGCACACTGTACAGGGATTCATGCAGGTTGGGGGAGCTCTAGTGGGTGGGGAGTCAGAACTCCAGAGCTTCATACCCATGGAGCTCCAGCTGGTAGGCGGCCATGTCGGCCACGGCTTGGGCATCAGCAGCTGAACCAGAGAGTGCACAGTAGATGTGCTCGTGCAGCGGGGACAGCTTGTCAAACACTCGGTTCACCACCGCCTCGCTGTCAGGAGGGAGTCAACAGTCACCAAGTTAAAACTCAGGTTTGCTTTTTTTTTTTTTTTTTTGAGACAGTCTCACTCTGTCACCCAGGCTGGAGTGCAGTGGATCAATCTTGGGCTCACTGCAAACTTCGCCTCCCTGGTTCAAGTGATTCTCCTGCCTCAGCCTCCCGAATAGCTGGGATTACAGGCACCCACCACCAAGCCCAGCTAATGTTTGTATTTTCAGTAGAGACAAGGTCCCAACATGTTGGCCAGGCTGGTCTCAAACTCCTGACCTCAAATATCTGCCCACCTCGGCATCCCAAAGTGCTGAGATTATAGATGTGAGCCACTGCACCCAACCAGAACTCAGGAATTTTTGAGGGTGATCATTCAATGTCTCTCAAATTTCTTTGACAAGAGAATAGCATGAAGTTTAATGCTTGGATTAAAGCAGGAGGCAAATAATCATCTCAGATATTATTAATCACTGCAGATGTTAATCAAAATTAGGCTTATTTTTCAGGCTTAGATTTTATAACAAAGCAAAAAATGCTAAGGTAAGAAAAATATGCCTCATCAATTTTCTTTGCTATTAACAATCTTGAGAGAGTTATGTTCTATGGAACATAATGTCAGTAATATTGACCTAACCCCATATACTCATTTTGCATGTGAGGAAATTGGTTAGGAGTGGGAGAAGAGACAAAATAGTTCAATATATGGTAAATGAGAAACCAGATATCTGCTTGACAGAATCATCTTTTTGATCCCTAAGCACAGATGGAAAGAAGACCCTCAAAAATCTATCTCCTGTCCCCCTCTCAGACCCTATTCCTTTACTCATCCCTGTACACTACTGGGACAGGTCACATACACATTCAGACCCCAGATCCTCCTCCACAAATTCAGAGACCCAAGCACCCACCAAATAGCTTATCATAGTGGCTTTTGGGGAAGGTCAACTCCATTCCTCCAAGGCTCCAGTTTGCCAGTCTTTTCATGAATGGGTAAGGAAAGTGTGTATTTGAGGCCATTAGCTTCTTTCCAAATGCATACATCTTCACTTTTACTCACCCTGCAGACACTCGGGAATCAGAACCCATCACAACGCCCCCGTCAAACTCCACTGCCATGATGGTGGTCTGCAGAGACACAGAATATGGAATGTCAGGGCAAGAACAGCCTTGATGCCCTCATGTTAGAGAAGAAGAAACATTCCCAGAGAGGCGAAGTGACTGGCTCAAAGATTACACAGTAACAGGCCAGAGCTGACTGTCAGTACAGGCTTTTTTTCCCTTCATCTTTCCACTTTCTCTATTGCTTCATCCGGCTGCAGGGGAATGCCACAGCCCAGCTGTGATACAACACAGAAAGAACTGTGTCCCTAAGTTCCAACTTGCCTAGTGGAATCCTCTCCACTGTAGAGAGGTGGAGATGAGGCTCCTACAGGTAGAAGTGAAGCAGCTCCGCAAGTGAAAATTATCTCCAACGGAAGGGCTCATAGTATGTGCAGATGTGGTGTAGACCCAACACAGAGTAATTGACTATGATCTTGGGAAACAAGGTCAGTCTATTTTTTTTTTTTTGGTCCACAATCCTCCACTCTCACCCCCCATTTCATCAGAAGTGAGCTCTTCCAATTTACTGAACATTGGAAAAAATCGAGGAGGGCAGTGGTTAGCATGGCCAGGGGCAAGGCAGGAGAGAAGCAGCAAGGAACACATACAGATGGTTGAAAATAAAAGTTTCAGTTATGGAATTTCCGATCAAGAGGTAAATACATATCTCAGCAGCCAGGGGGGTAAATTTGTACCAAGAGATAATTTGACTGAGAAGTTTAAGCTGACTTTTCCAGGTCAAGAAAAGAATCAAGAAGAAGTGAGGGAAGATAAAGCTACATTTATTCTACTATTGAGTTGGAAGGAGCCTTAAAGATCCTCGGTTCAAATGAGGAAACCAAGTCACAGAAAATGCAAACGACTTATGCAAAGTCACACAGAGTTAATAGTAGACCTGGGACTAAAATTCAGGTCTAACTCTTATCCCTTGTTTCCACTTCTACTTCCTACTTGCCACTGCTCTTTTGGCAGTGAGGGGAGATTTCCCAAATTATAAGTGGTTTCACTGTGTCTTTCTTACCAGGCCGTAAATTACTCTGGCCCCAAAGGACGCTCCTCTGAGTATGCTTTCCGACGGACAGACTTATCATGAATAGAGGGTCAAAGAACAGGGTTAACTTCAAGTTAGAGGCTATTCCTCTCTAACAAAGCCGCCCCCAAGCCACGAGTGGTGGCAGTAGTCCAGAGCAGAAGCCAGCCAGCCAGTCTTGGGGCTGCCATCTGCCCCAGGCGCCCATCCTAAGCAAAGTCCCCCCAGTGGGCACATGGGAGTGGGCAGGGAAGACACAGGGAAGGGAGTAAGGCAGCATCTGGGCCAAGGAGAGGCCTTCCTGGGTCAAGCTAGGGAAGGGCATCACTAGTTAACACAGAACGCCCATTATCAGTGCTTGGGCTAAGAGTTGCCCAGTGGCAAGTTTATCAAAAGTCTGTGTGATGAGTTGGTCCTTCTCAATAAGTGCCTATATTTCCTTCTCCCAAGTGCTGTTCTACTTCACCCAGGGCACCATTTCCTCATCTCTTTGCACCATCCCCAACCCCCTTTCTTGATTTAACCAGCCCCCACTGTCCGGGACCAGAGTGAAAGCGAAAGCGCTTTAGAGTAGCTTCCCGTTGACGCTTCCAGCTAAGAGTCAAAGCACCCCCTTTTTCCACCAGCCTCGCGTGCCTGGTCCCTTCACGGACACTCTAGACGACCCCCCTCAGAAAAGAAATACTCTATGCTCATTGCGGGTTGCAAGCGCTGGCTGCTACAGGCGACCTCCCTGCGCTCCCGTTGGTCTCTGCATTCACTTCTCCGCGCGCGCTTCCAGGGTCCCCTGGCCGCTGCATCTCCTCCACCCCTCTGCCAACCCTCAAGCCCAGACCCATTACCCCGGTGTGGACTTCTCCCGCCCGGGGTAAGTCCCCGGTTGGTGCTCCCGCCCGCAGCATCCCTGCAAGGCACCGCTCTCCTCGCCGCCTGGGGCACTGGTTTCCAACCTGGGACAGCGCACAACGCGCAGCCGACAGCCCCGCCCCTTCGCGGCGCCGCCAGGAGGCGCCTGGGTGCTGCGGGGCTGCTTTGCGCGCGGCGCTAACTTGTGTAGGGCAGATCTGCCCCGAGACAAGTGACGAGGCAGCCCCGCCCTGAGGCTGGGGTGGGAAAACTGGTGCAAGTGGAAAGGCAGGAGGCAGGGAGAGGCGAGAAGGGTGTGCGTGATGGAGAAAATTGGGCACCAGGGCTGCTCCCGAGATTCTCAGATCTGATTTCCACGCTTGCTACCAAAATAGTCTGGGCAGGCCACTTTTGGAAGTAGGCGTTATCTAGTGAGCAGGCGGCCGCTTTCGATTTCGCTTTCCCCTAAATGGCTGAGCTTCTCGCCAGCGCAGGATCAGCCTGTTCCTGGGACTTTCCGAGAGCCCCGCCCTCGTTCCCTCCCCCAGCCGCCAGTAGGGGAGGACTCGGCGGTACCCGGAGCTTCAGGCCCCACCGGGGCGCGGAGAGTCCCAGGCCCGGCCGGGACCGGGACGGCGTCCGAGTGCCAATGGCTAGCTCTAGGTGTCCCGCTCCCCGCGGGTGCCGCTGCCTCCCCGGAGCTTCTCTCGCATGGCTGGGGACAGTACTGCTACTTCTCGCCGACTGGGTGCTGCTCCGGACCGCGCTGCCCCGCATATTCTCCCTGCTGGTGCCCACCGCGCTGCCACTGCTCCGGGTCTGGGCGGTGGGCCTGAGCCGCTGGGCCGTGCTCTGGCTGGGGGCCTGCGGGGTCCTCAGGGCAACGGTTGGCTCCAAGAGCGAAAACGCAGGTGCCCAGGGCTGGCTGGCTGCTTTGAAGCCATTAGCTGCGGCACTGGGCTTGGCCCTGCCGGGACTTGCCTTGTTCCGAGAGCTGATCTCATGGGGAGCCCCCGGGTCCGCGGATAGCACCAGGCTACTGCACTGGGGAAGTCACCCTACCGCCTTCGTTGTCAGTTATGCAGCGGCACTGCCCGCAGCAGCCCTGTGGCACAAACTCGGGAGCCTCTGGGTGCCCGGCGGTCAGGGCGGCTCTGGAAACCCTGTGCGTCGGCTTCTAGGCTGCCTGGGCTCGGAGACGCGCCGCCTCTCGCTGTTCCTGGTCCTGGTGGTCCTCTCCTCTCTTGGTAAGGGGAACGCAGGGCAAGAGGGGAGGACACAAGGGGACTGGGACAGGAATCAAAGGTAATTGTCAGTAAGGTAGAGTAGCGTGGGTTCTGGGAAATGTGGAGCAGGAGAAGGACTCCTAGCGTGGGTCTTGGAACACCACTTCGGTGTAGAAGAAACGGCACTGGACTGGCGGGGGCCAGAGGTTCTGGGCTCCATTGCTGACCGGGTCTTGATTCTTTGGGCCACGCCGGAAGCGGGGAAATCCTTTGCTCTGGGGCCGAAGGGCGGGGCATCCTCATCTCTAACAGGAGGCTTTTCTACTTCATGATCTCCAGCCTTCCTAATAAAATCCTGAAAGTTCTGGTAGAGCAACCACAGGGTAGTGAGTTCCAGGGCAGCCTATTTAGGTTCGGGATTGAGACGTCAGTGTTTCCTTTCTGCTGATGCCCTCCAGGATAATGGTGAGGGGGAGGAGGCGTGGTGGGGCCAGTCTGACTGGAACTGACCTACTTAGACTTAATATTTGTGCGTGACCTCTCTTCTCTTTCTCCAGGGGAGATGGCCATTCCATTCTTTACGGGCCGCCTCACTGACTGGATTCTACAAGATGGCTCAGCCGATACCTTCACTCGAAACTTAACTCTCATGTCCATTCTCACCATAGCCAGGTCTGGGGGCTGAAAATGGGGCACCCTGCAAATGAGGGAGTTGGAAGTTGGGGCTGCTGTCCGAAATGCACTTATATGGGGATACCTGGGACCTTCAGTCTGTTCCCTGAACACACCCTGATCCCCTTTTTTTCCGGGTTCTTTATAGTGCAGTGCTGGAGTTCGTGGGTGACGGGATCTATAACAACACCATGGGCCACGTGCACAGCCACTTGCAGGGAGAGGTGTTTGGGGCTGTCCTGCGCCAGGAGACGGAGTTTTTCCAACAGAACCAGACAGGTTTCTCCTGAAACTCTTTCATTATACGCCATGTACTGTTCATATCCTCATACATCTGCTTTGATCTCCCCCCTCCCCGCTCTCTCTCTCTCACACACACATACACACATTGTTCCTTCTCATTCTTGATATACCCTCTCCCTGTCTCTCTCTCTCTGTCTCTGTCTCTCTCTCTCTCTCTCTCTCACACACACACACACACAATTGTTTTTCTCATTCTTGATATACCTCAGGAGCAAAATATTGTCCTCCTTACCTTAAGAAAAACCTAGAGTTTTCATCTAGCATTTTCTTATAAATCTATTCCTATGTATCCTTAGATAGAAACCATAGAATTTCAAACCTGGAAATTTTGAGCTCATAGAGACCAACTGCCTCATCTGACAGAGAAGGAAACTGAGGCCAAGACCCTAAATGCTGAAACTGCACAGTTACATATGGCTAGAGACACACTTGGGGTTAGAACCCTGGTCTCTTGAGTGCTCCACAGACTTCGGCATGCTTTCTAGCAGCACTAGAAGCTGTACAGTTACATATGGCTAGAGATAGACCTGGGGTTAGAACCCTAGTCCCAGTGAGTGCTCCACAGACTTTGGCATGCTTCCTAGCAGCACCCTCCTCCTCCATCTCTGTTATGTGACCAGTTTAAGCTCTTCCTGCCTGTGTGTATAGCATGGGACATACAGGTTCTCTAGGGAACAGAAAGCTTTCAGGAAAATGGAAATTCACATGTGCATTAATGACTTTATAATTAAAATGAAGGTCAGGCCTTTCCTCTTTAACACTCATCTTCCCTGCACTGAGATTTGCAGACCTCTGGAGAACCCTAACCTTGTTTCCTGCAGCCTCCTTAGAACCCCATGTTGACACCCCTGACCCTGGCATCCTGGCTCATTGTTAGTTCGTCTCATCACTTGGAACCTGTCTGATTCACCTCACTCTCTTCTCCCCAACCCTGCAGGTAACATCATGTCTCGGGTAACAGAGGACACGTCCACCCTGAGTGATTCTCTGAGTGAGAATCTGAGCTTATTTCTGTGGTACCTGGTGCGAGGCCTATGTCTCTTGGGGATCATGCTCTGGGGATCAGTGTCCCTCACCATGGTCACCCTGATCACCCTGCCTCTGCTTTTCCTTCTGCCCAAGAAGGTGGGAAAATGGTACCAGGTATGTTCATGGAGTTGGCCCGCTCTACACAGACCCTCATCTCCCAGACTTGGCAGACTCAGTTCCTCTCACATTGCTTTCAGTCCAGCTTTCCTGGCACCCTTACTGATTCTCCATCTTCATGGAACACCCTGTCCCTGTGGTCCATGTTCCCAGGTTGCTCAACATTAACCTCCATACTCTCTGGGTCTTCTTTTCTAGCTTCTCCCCACAATCTGTCTTTAAGAATTTGATCCCCAACCCGTTCTGAGTCATTTTCCTCTTCCTCGTATTTCTTTAGCATCCAAGGGGCATAGCTGTGTCTCTTTCTCTTTTCTCCTTTTCCTCTGTCTCTTCTCACCTTTAATTTCCAAATAGGTAACTCAGGTATTAGTGTCCCTGATGGTTTGCCAACCCGTGTGACATCTCTTGTCCATGTATCCACAGTTGCTGGAAGTGCAGGTGCGGGAATCTCTGGCAAAGTCCAGCCAGGTGGCCATTGAGGCTCTGTCGGCCATGCCTACAGTTCGAAGCTTTGCCAACGAGGAGGGCGAAGCCCAGAAGTTTAGGGAAAAGCTGCAAGAAATAAAGACACTCAACCAGAAGGAGGCTGTGGCCTATGCAGTCAACTCCTGGACCACTAGTGTGAGCACCTGAAGATGAATACCCATTCCCTTGTCCTTAAGATGCCGTGACTCCATTCCCATTCCTATGACCCTGCTCCCACTCCTCCTTTACTGGGAAATGGTTGGTTCAGTATTTTCGTCCTAGCAACCTGAGGCTCAATGACTCTACTCAGTGTCCCTAGCCCCCTCCCTCTCTTTAAAGATGCTAGGTGGCTTCCTTTCAGTATGGTACATAAAATCCACCCAACCATGTGGATTGGAGAGATGCGTGTCTTCCAGTCCTAGGGCCTTCCTTTGCCTCTCAGGGGAAGTGCAGGGCGCCATAAATTCTTGCACCTGGGACTGCTTCATGCTGGTACCTTGTAGATTTGTTAGTGAGAGTGATGGGAATAGTGGAAGCCAGGGATGAGGGACATCTGTGATGCACTGGAAAGAGAGCTACGCCAGTGATCCGAAGATCCTGGCTTGATGATGCAATTTACTTGTCTTGTGATCATGACAACAAATTTACCTTCTCTGAGACTGTTTCCTCTTTATTTATTTATTTGTTTGTTTGTTTGTTTATTTTTACTTATTATTATTATTTTTGAGCTGGAGTCTCGCTTTGTCGCCCAGGCTGGAGTGCAGTGGCGCGATCTGGGCTCACTGCAAGCTCCGCCTCCCGGGTTCACGCCGTTCTCCCGCCTCAGCCTCCTGAGTAGCTGGGACTACAGGCACCCGCCACCACGCCCGGCTAATTTTTTTTTTTTTTGTATTTTTAGTAGAGACGAGGTTTCTCCGTGTTAGCCAGGATGGTCTCAATCTCCTGACCTTGTGATCCGCCCACTTCGGCCTCCCAAAGTGCTGGAATTGCAGGCATGAGCCACTGCGCCCGACTGGTTGTTTCCTCATTTTTCAAAAATGGAGTGATATAACCTTCTTTATAAGGCTCTTCATGTATTAGCTGACATCACATGAATGAAAGCCTTTTGTGAAGAGTAAAATGCTCCCCAGACAAGGTGATAGTGGTGATGGTGGTGAAGATAACTGTGACTTGCATGATGTGCATTGAGTCAGACTCCATGGGGTCTCTGGTTCATTCTCCTGTCTGCCTATTGAGCCTGCCGATGTCACTTAGGAGACAGGGACTTGATATTTCCTTCAGGTTAATGACTGTGGTTCTTTGTGTCCCCTCCAGATTTCTCTACCTCAGTCCCTTTTTTTGTGGTCTCTTTATAGATTTCAGGTATGCTGCTGAAAGTGGGAATCCTCTACATTGGTGGGCAGCTGGTGACCAGTGGGGCTGTAAGCAGTGGGAACCTTGTCACATTTGTTCTCTACCAGATGCAGTTCACCCAGGCTGTGGAGGTGAGGTCCCTCCACCTTCACTCCCCAGTGTGATTCCTTCCTCTGGCCCAGCACCATCTGTGTGATGTCCTTCCATTCTTTACCCTTCTTGCTTCACATAATGCTGGCAAGCAGACTACCTCACTTTCACTATTCTTACCTCCCTCTAGGTACTGCTCTCCATCTACCCCAGAGTACAGAAGGCTGTGGGCTCCTCAGAGAAAATATTTGAGTACCTGGACCGCACCCCTCGCTGCCCACCCAGTGGTCTGTTGACTCCCTTACACTTGGAGGGCCTTGTCCAGTTCCAAGATGTCTCCTTTGCCTACCCAAACCGCCCAGATGTCTTAGTGCTACAGGTACAACCTACCACTCCCTGTATTCCACTGGCCCCAACTGCAATTCTGCCATCCTAAATTTTCTTCCTGCCTTCAGCCTGCTTACTGCCAAGCATATATCCTCCCTAACCCTTTAAAGGCAATGGTAGGCATCATCTGTTCCATAAATCTTCCCCAAACTCAAGAACCCAGTTTGGGCTTCCAAAGAGAATGAGAGAAGAGGTTTCGAAGAGAGTGCTCTCACGTTCCAAGGAATTGCTGCAGCAAAATCTGTGTCTTCGGTCTTCCATCTTTCCTTTTCCTTTGTAATTTGGAATGTGATTTTTCCCTTTCCTGGTGGTATCTGACATCAAGTGTGTGGCATAGTGGTGCTGGGTCTCTGCCCTTGTCTTTGCTGCTTCTTCTATCTCTACTCCTTGGGGAGGCATCACCCAGAAATCTGTGCATGTGGGAGGGTAGGAGTTTCTATATTTCCCTGTTTTTCTTCTGGGGTAAGACATCATGCTATGTAACAAGGCAATGACACTCTCAAGGTTAGAGGCCTTGGTAGCCTCTTATCGTGTGCTTCTCTGGCCTCTAGGGGCTGACATTCACCCTACGCCCTGGCGAGGTGACGGCGCTGGTGGGACCCAATGGGTCTGGGAAGAGCACAGTGGCTGCCCTGCTGCAGAATCTGTACCAGCCCACCGGGGGACAGCTGCTGTTGGATGGGAAGCCCCTTCCCCAATATGAGCACCGCTACCTGCACAGGCAGGTATGGAAGCAGGTGGCTTGAAGGAGGGCAGGGAGCATCAAATACGAAGAGCATTCTTACTGAGCACTCTGAAAGAGGGGTTAGGGAATGATAAGAGACCTTGGGTGGAGATGGTGGTGTAGTCAGGAGGGAGGTAGTATGATTTTGTGACATGTTCTCAATAAAGATTTTGAGTCTTCGATCTCTAGATAACCATACTCCCATGTGCCTTGTTCTATGACTCTTCATCATATTTCATCTCAGGTGGCTGCAGTGGGACAAGAGCCACAGGTATTTGGAAGAAGTCTTCAAGAAAATATTGCCTATGGCCTGACCCAGAAGCCAACTATGGAGGAAATCACAGCTGCTGCAGTAAAGTCTGGGGCCCATAGTTTCATCTCTGGACTCCCTCAGGGCTATGACACAGGTACTCTCTCCACTCATCTCACCACCCAGCCATCTTTACCTTTGCTGAAACCCCAGTAGTCTTGCCTTTATCCTTCAGTTCCTCCTTACTCATGGACATCAATTTGAAGTTGTAAGATCATGCTCCTATGGCTTCTTCATCCTGACATCCTCAGGATTCTGTTCATCTTCCCAGAATCTCCCCTATCCAGCTACAACCGTCAGATCTTGGTGTGTGTGAGTGCGTGAATGCATGAGTGTGTCTGTGTGCATGTACATGCGTGCACACATGTGGCTATACCGTTCTCATCTTGGCCCTTTGCTCTGCAGAGGTAGACGAGGCTGGGAGCCAGCTGTCAGGGGGTCAGCGACAGGCAGTGGCGTTGGCCCGAGCATTGATCCGGAAACCGTGTGTACTTATCCTGGATGATGCCACCAGTGCCCTGGATGCAAACAGCCAGTTACAGGTGAGGCAGTCATCTTCTTAATGGCTATATCCCACCCAATCTTGCTTCTTTTATACATCTTCTGTTAGTTTTACTAACATCATAATTATACAAACCAGTCCTTGCAGTTCTCAGTTCCCAAATCCAGTTCCATTGGATGCCTCCCCAAGGAGTAGAGATAGAAGACGAGGCAAAGACACCTAGAATCAGTTAAAAGAGACTATCTACAAACTACAGACTGAATTTCTTTCTTTCTTTCCTTTTTTTTTTTTAAGACAGTGTCTCACTCAGTTGCCCAGGCTGGAGCGCAGTGGCACAATCTTGGCTCACTGCAGCTTCAACCTGCTGGGCTCAAGCGATTCTCCCCTCAGCCTCCCGAGTAGCTGGGACTACAGGTGTACACCACTATGCCTGGTTGGCTTTTATATTTTTAGTAGAGATGGGTTTCACCATGTTGCCCAGGCTGGCCTTGAATTCCTGAGCTCAGGTAATCTGCCCCCCTCAGCCTCCCAAAGGGCTGGGGTTATAGGTGTGAGCCACTGCGCCCAGTCCTATAGACTGAATTTCTAAAGCGAAACATAAGGAAAAGACCATCCTCATAATATCGTTTATTTAAAAAAATTATTTTTTGTACAGACAGCGTCCCGCTATGTTGCCCAGGCTGGCCTTGAACTCCTGGGCCCAAGTGATCCTCCCTCCTTGACCTCCCAAAGTGCTAGGATTATAGGCATGAGCCACTGGGCCCAGCCCATCCTAATCATATTAATATTAATTAAGCTAGTCTGTTTACATGCACTGTCACTCATTTATTCATTAGGAATCCTTCTGAGCTAGGCATTTATCATCATTCTACAGATGACAAAATGGAGGTTAAAAGAGGTTGAATAAGCTGCTCATATAGAGGTCATATAGCTTTTGAGTGGCGCAGCCTTGACCCAAATTCAGGTCTGCCTGACTTGAATGCTCATCTCTTTACTACTAAGTTATATTTCCTTAAAATCGAATATAAAAATGCCAAGTCCATGGGTAGAGAAGAGGACTATTCAATAGTCTTTATTCTTCTGTCACGTGTTTCACCCTAGGGTTCTCATTTTTATCCTACTTTTGCACCCTTCATGTAAAACAGTCCTTAATGAAACAAAGGGTTTGCGGAGAAGTACTCAGAATGGGAAACGTTGGTGTCCTTGGGGTTGTTAGCAGAGCCAGCAGTGATCCTGTGAGGTCAGTCCCAGCCCTGGAAACACAGGTGTCTCCCTGGGCTGAGGGTAGTCCCCGGCTCTGACGGTCCGATGTCTTTCCTCAGGTGGAGCAGCTCCTGTACGAAAGCCCTGAGCGGTACTCCCGCTCAGTGCTTCTCATCACCCAGCACCTCAGCCTGGTGGAGCAGGCTGACCACATCCTCTTTCTGGAAGGAGGCGCTATCCGGGAGGGGGGAACCCACCAGCAGCTCATGGAGAAAAAGGGGTGCTACTGGGCCATGGTGCAGGCTCCTGCAGATGCTCCAGAATGAAAGCCTTCTCAGACCTGCGCACTCCATCTCCCTCCCTTTTCTTCTCTCTGTGGTGGAGAACCACAGCTGCAGAGTAGGCAGCTGCCTCCAGGATGAGTTACTTGAAATTTGCCTTGAGTGTGTTACCTCCTTTCCAAGCTCCTCGTGATAATGCAGACTTCCTGGAGTACAAACACAGGATTTGTAATTCCTTACTGTAACGGAGTTTAGAGCCAGGGCTGATGCTTTGGTGTGGCCAGCACTCTGAAACTGAGAAATGTTCAGAATGTACGGAAAGATGATCAGCTATTTTCAACATAACTGAAGGCATATGCTGGCCCATAAACACCCTGTAGGTTCTTGATATTTATAATAAAATTGGTGTTTTGTACTGTGGTTTCTTATGTTTCCGGCACACCAAACGGCCCACTGCCTTTTGCAGCGCACTTTTCAGCTGCGGGTGTCTCCTCTTTTATCATCCTCAATGTTTTACCCCCTAACTGCATCACCTTTTCCCTTAAGCTTTTTAATTCCTATGAGGCCCCTTCCACTTCCCCTATCCCCTTAGGCCCACCCCCAAGAATGTGCAAGACCCCAGCCACAGGGCCCATCAGGGCACTAGCGGCCGCAGCTCAGAGCCGTGGCCTCTCCGAAGTGGCAGATGGGGCGGGCGCGGCCAGAGCAAGTGCCAGGCGGGAACAGAGGGACTGGGCGCGCCTCACAACTCACCACCTCGCCCGCTGGTCCTTCCTGGCTCGCCTGGCTCTGAAGCTGCACCTGGAGGGGAAACCTCAGAACAGTAGGCGGGATTGCCTAGTAAATATCTCCCATTCAGGGAGGCCCAGGTCGTGTGACGTCGACAGTTGCTGGGTAGATGAGGCCAACACAGGTTGCAAGAAGAGGCGGGGTTTAGAGGCGTGAAACTCCGCAGTGCTCAGCCAAGCAGGGAGCAACGCTAGGAAGGGCGGGCAGAAAGGGCACGCTCTTGTGGGTGACTACAGGTTAGGAGACCGTTGAACCTGGAGGGGCCCTAGGATGGACCCCGTGGAAAGATTCAGAGACTGCGCCCTCTCCCTGGCGCCGCCTTCCCCTACACGCGGCGGGTATATTCTGTTGCAGTTGGCCCAGGACCTGTTTCCAAGACTCTGCCCCCTCGCACTTCCGTCCCTCCTGGTTTTGTAAAGTGATGCTCATAGGAACCCCCACCCCGCGTGACACTACTCCCAGCTCCTGGCTGACTTCTAGTCTTCTGGTTGAAGCTGCGCCTTTAGATGACACGACCCTACCCACCCCTGTTTCCAGCGGATGCCCGGGCCTGGAGGTACCTCTTACTGTAACCCATCGCCAAGTGGGCTTTTGAAGGCGCCTGTTCCTTTCTCGCTTTCTTCGGAAGACCCTTGACCCATCATTCCCCCGACCCCCATAACGGGAGAGCAGAGAAGCCGGTCCCCAGTGTGATGGTCCTGGTCCAGGCACTAACTGTCCTTTTCTCGGAAAAGGCAGGGGGATGTGGAAAAGAGTCTTGTTCCCTCCCCTTCGATCTGTGGCTTTCGCTTTCACTTCCTCCTCCGAGAGCGGACAGATCTCTGGGTGCTGGGCGGTCATGGCGCTACTAGATGTATGCGGAGCCCCCCGAGGGCAGCGGCCGGAATCGGCTCTCCCGGTTGCGGGAAGCGGGCGTCGCTCGGACCCAGGACACTACAGTTTCTCTATGCGATCTCCAGAGCTCGCTTTACCCCGGGGAATGCAGGTCGGGGCAGTAGGGAAGCCCCTAGGGATGCAGGGAGGCGGGCGCTGAGGAGTGGAGGGTCGCCTGAGAGGAGGAGGCGAGAGCGGGAGCGCGGGGTACAGGGTCGGGGGTAGCCTTCAGTCCCGGAGAGCGCCAGACCCAAAGAAGAGGCCACATGGGGATGGGGCCTGAGAGGAGGAAGTGCAAGTTAGGACAAAGAGTTACAGGTGAGGTGGGGGCTCCCAAAGGAAGACAAGAGAACTTCCCTGCCCTTGTCCACACACAAATGGTGGAGCCTTTTTCATGGGGTTATCACATGATATAGGAGGTGTGTGGTGTCTTGGGAAACCTATGAAATTTGCCTGCTGGCCTCCTCTCAGCAACTCACTGTTGCGCGACTTAGAACAAGTCACTTAGTCTAGGTCCCAAGCCCCTCTTCTGTAAAGTGAGGATACTGTTACTAAACGTGTTTTGTGAGGGTTGAATGCTTTATGCATGGAAGAAACCCTTTAAGTCACTCTCAAAATTTTTTAGTAATGGTAACATGTGCTTGCTTTCATTTCTGTTGTGCTGGAAAATGGAAAAGGTTGATACTGGCATGCCTCTTCTTTTCCTTCTCCCAAGCCATTTCCTTCTAGAGATTGGTTATTAACTGTTTCATTTATTGATGGTTAGATCATTTCTGCATATCTCCTCACCCTCATACTCCCTAAAACCTTTTCCTGGAGCCTCTTACTACAGAATTTTTCATTGCCTTTCTCAACCTCTTTTCTCTTATCAGCCCACAGAATTCTTCCAGTCCCTGGGTGGGGACGGAGAAAGGAACGTTCAGATTGAGATGGCCCATGGCACCACCACGCTCGCCTTCAAGTTCCAGCATGGAGTGATTGCAGCAGTGGATTCTCGGGCCTCAGCTGGGTCCTACATTAGTGAGTGTATACGCTCCAGCAGGCAGAATCTGGGGAGCTGGGCTCTCCTTTCCACAGGAGGCCAACTCTGCAACAAAGTGGAAGTGGATATTGATTTAGGACACACTGGGGGATCTATGGGGTCATCCCTTCTCTCCCAAAGCTCCATCTTCTTCCAGGTGCCTTACGGGTGAACAAGGTGATTGAGATTAACCCTTACCTGCTTGGCACCATGTCTGGCTGTGCAGCAGACTGTCAGTACTGGGAGCGCCTGCTGGCCAAGGAATGCAGGTAAGTGAGGCCTCTCATCTTCCTTTCTTAGCCTAGTGGTTAATCCCTGGATCTCTCAGATCATTGCTCCTTACTCTTGTCCTATGTGGTCCATCTTAGTGCTAATAGTATATTTCACAAAACAGCTTTTTGGTGATAAGACCCTTCTCCCAAATCTCAGCCTGTGCTCCACTCATAAGCCAGATAGTACGTCAGGTATTTAGCACTGACACATCCACCCTGGCGGGACAGTATCATTTACTAGGCTGCCTTTGTATGTTTCAGATACTTTAAATTCCAAATCTTTCTCTGATCTTTAGATCCTACAAAATAATTCCTTTCCAATGCTTATCTCTTTAATCATTTCCTGCCCCATCAAGTTGGAAAGAGCTAACCTCTCTTTCCTCACTCCACCTTGTCCTCACCCAGGCTGTACTATCTGCGAAATGGAGAACGTATTTCAGTGTCGGCAGCCTCCAAGCTGCTGTCCAACATGATGTGCCAGTACCGGGGCATGGGCCTCTCTATGGGCAGTATGATCTGTGGCTGGGATAAGAAGGTGGGTGCTCTCCATTCTTCATGTTCCCCCACCATGTTCCCTATGGATGACAGATCTGTTTCCCATCATATACTCCTACTCCCTCCCTGACAAGATGCATGGCATATAGAGTGCTTGGTTATAGAACTGTTTCAGTATATCCATGGACTATTTATTGGCCCAGATATGAATCATTGCATGTGTTTTGTAAGCTTGTCCCTTTTGTTAAACAGTTGATTTCAAGTTTGTTTTTCCTTTTTCATTTCTAAAGTTCGATGACTTTACCAAAGTGGTTTCCTAATTCCAATGTTCTTGTGGTAATATTAATTCTTTTGTTCACTTTTTATGTCTCATATTTGAACCCCCATGTTACCAACATCTTCCTCTCCAATTTCAGCCTGAAATCTTTCATCTTATAGGGTCCTGGACTCTACTACGTGGATGAACATGGGACTCGGCTCTCAGGAAATATGTTCTCCACGGGTAGTGGGAACACTTATGCCTACGGGGTCATGGACAGTGGCTATCGGCCTAATCTTAGCCCTGAAGAGGCCTATGACCTTGGCCGCAGGGCTATTGCTTATGCCACTCACAGAGACAGCTATTCTGGAGGCGTTGTCAATAGTAAGAGACCAATGCTCCCACCACCATGCCTGGGAGGAGTCGGCGGGTGGTGGGGGGGGTGATTTAAGATTGAGAAACCAGCCTTGCCAACATGGCGAAACCCCGTCTCTACTAAAACTACAAAAATTAGCCGGACGTGGTGACGGGTGCCTGTAGTCCCAGCTACTTGGGAGGCTGAGGCAGGAGAATCACTTGAACCTGGGAGGTGGAGCTTGCAGTGAGCCAAGATGGTGCCACTGCATTCCAGTCTGGGCCACAGAGTGAGACTCCTTCTCAAAAGAAAAAAAAGAAAATGATTGAGAGACTCAAAGGAGGGAGAGTAGTAGGGAGGAAATTTTCAGAGTCAGAAGAAGGGCATTAAAGGCCCAGTCATATGGTTTTAAGCTTGCGCATGTGTCTTGTTGCTGCCTTCAACATAACATCAGTGACAGGAACTTGCTGAGGTGAAAGGTGACTCCATGTTCTTTTCTCATTTGTCCACAGTGTACCACATGAAGGAAGATGGTTGGGTGAAAGTAGAAAGTACAGATGTCAGTGACCTGCTGCACCAGTACCGGGAAGCCAATCAATAATGGTGGTGGTGGCAGCTGGGCAGGTCTCCTCTGGGAGGTCTTGGCCGACTCAGGGACCTAAGCCACGTTAAGTCCAAGGAGAAGAAGAGGCCTAGCCTGAGCCAAAGAGAGAGTACGGGCTCAGCAGCCAGAGGAGGCCGGTGAAGTGCATCTTCTGCGTGTTCTCTATTTGAACAAGCATTTCCCCCAGGGAAGTTTCTGGGTGCCCCACTAAGTAGAATAAAGAAAAACGGTTATAAATACCTCTGTCTTGTGGCTGAATGGGGTTGGGCCTGTGGTTGTTGGGTGGGGCAGAAAGTAAAGAGACGCTTTTTCTGGAGAAGGGGCTCAGACCCCTATCTAAGAAATGTGGCCTCACCACATAGTTCTTCCTGGGGTTTCCTTCCACACTCATCTCTCCAAGACCTCAGGAAGGCTGCTCATTGCTGTCCATGGACACTTGTTTGCAATTTCACATAGGTTAGGGTCCTTTCCATAGAGAGGCACCTGGGGACTCCTGTGTGCTCCATTGTTAATGGTTTGAGGAACAGGGAGTAGGGCACCTAGGATAACTGTTTTTGACTTTATAGAGTAGGATGAAAAAGCTTCCACTTCACTTTAATATGGTAATCATATAAACACCATACCATTTATCCCAAATAACACTTTGGAGATATTGGATATTGAATATAAAGACAGACATTAAGGGTCTAATTTCATGATGTGTCATGCTGAATTGCAAGATGGCAGGACTATAATTTTAGAGGAAGAAGAGATCAGGAGGACTCCCCTAAGTGAGGAGTGTGGGGAAAATGTAAAAGATCCAGGTTAGAAGAAAGAGACACACATCATGAGATTTTCGGAATCATGCTGGAACTATGGACCATGTCACTTTCCAGAAAATAAAGGAAACAAATGCTTGAAAGTAGGAGCATGAGCTTGAGCATGGAGCTTTTTTCATTAGAGAGAGATTCTTAAAATGCCAGAATGAATAGAGTTGTAAAACTTTAGCGAGCCCCTACTTAAAATCCCTCCTCCCCACCACCACTATTTTAAACTTTAAGTGACTCCTTGGTAGTCACACAGGTAACATTTCAAAATGGTGATCTGGAATCCAAGCGACCCTTCCTTTGGGGAATTTGTTTGTTTGTTTGTTTTTAGTTTGGGAGGTGGTTTCAATCTGAAGAGTCCTTTCTGGAATAAACGAATCTTTCTGTTGCATAGGAAGGCTCTGGGACAGGAAGGATATTTAAAAACCTAATTACTGTTCTAAACAGTGTTAAAATAGAACAAGAACCAAAGCCCAGTACCGGGCATTTCCCTCATAGGCTGAAGGTGCGCCCAACATAATTTGGAGTACAGACTCAGAGGCACCTGAACACGCGCCAGCTCAAGGTGCTCCGGCTGAGAAGGACGGATGAAGATGAACGCTCAGGGCCTACTAAATTCAAAGTCTGTACGTGAAAATCCCCTTTGGCCTGGTGAGATTGGTTGGAACCTTCTATTTAGGAGAGCCCGGCTCGCTCGCCTAAAACTGGAGCTTGCATGGAAGAGGGCACTTTTTTTTTTTTTTTAGACGAAGTCTCACTCTTGTCGCCCAGGCTGGAGTGCAATGACCCGATCTCGGCTCACTGAAACCTCTGCCTCCTGAGTTCAAGCGATTCCCCTGCCTCAGCCTCCCGAGTAGCTGGGATTACAGGCGTCCGCCACCACGCCCTGGCTAATTTTTGTATTTTTAGTAGAGACAGGGTTTCACCATGTTGGCCAGGCTGGTCTCGAACCCCTGACCTCAGGCGATCCGCCCGCCTCAGCCTCCCAAAGTGCTGTGATTACAGGCGTGAGCCACCGCGCCGGACCAGAAAGAAGGCACTTCTTAATAGTAGGCTCAGAGCTTGAAGTAGTAACTTTGAGAAAATTCAGTGATTCTCCAATTACAAAGCATTCTCCAATTACAAAGCAAGGACAACAGATACAGTTGCCCTTGAGACAACTGTATTTTACTTAATGATAAAGAAACATTTTTGCAGTTTTATATCCCAGAGTAACCGCCACTAAAGGCGAGTGAGACTCATTGCAGGCCTGTACAGTGCGAACCAGAGTTCGGGCTCCAGTTCCGCTGTCTGCGGGTCTCGCGCGCCCCCTCCCGGCGGCCCAGCCCAGAATGAAGGCCTTGGTTGGGGAAACGAAAGCGAAAGCTGCCCGAGCCCTGACGCCCGCCCTGGCCGAGCGTAGCTGGCGGACCAGAGCCGGTAGCGAGGTTGGGAGAGACGGAGCGGACCTCAGCGCTGAAGCAGAAGCCCCCGGAGCTGCGGTCTCCCCGCCGCGGCTGGTGAGTTGGTGCGGAGGGGAACCTGGAGCGCCAACAGGAACGCAGCCCAAGTGACTACCCACTCCACGCTCCTGCTTCCCAGTCCCTCTGCACCCGGCGATAGGAGGGAGCGGAGCCCGGACCACTTAGCTCGCCGCGGCAGGCGGGGGTGGGGGTGGGGGTCCGGGGATTTTTTTTTTTTTTTAAGCACGAGGCTCCTGATGGTCATGCTTCCAGCTCCCCAGAAGGCCGAAAGCTGTCTGTCGTAGGAGGGGTGTACGGATGAGCACCGGTTACTCAGGAGAGCTCTCAGGGTTGAATAGGATGAAATGAGAAGCCGATGGACGGGTTAGGCGGAGCCGGGCGGGTAGGAGGGCAGGGACAAGGATTGGGACTCCACCCCCATGATTTCTCATCTCGTATCCGTTGACAGAGCCATGCGGCTCCCTGACCTGAGACCCTGGACCTCCCTGCTGCTGGTGGACGCGGCTTTACTGTGGCTGCTTCAGGGCCCTCTGGGGACTTTGCTTCCTCAAGGGCTGCCAGGACTATGGCTGGAGGGGACCCTGCGGCTGGGAGGGCTGTGGGGGCTGCTAAAGCTAAGAGGGCTGCTGGGATTTGTGGGGACACTGCTGCTCCCGCTCTGTCTGGCCACCCCCCTGACTGTCTCCCTGAGAGCCCTGGTCGCGGGGGCCTCACGTGCTCCCCCAGCCAGAGTCGCTTCAGCCCCTTGGAGCTGGCTGCTGGTGGGGTACGGGGCTGCGGGGCTCAGCTGGTCACTGTGGGCTGTTCTGAGCCCTCCTGGAGCCCAGGAGAAGGAGCAGGACCAGGTGAACAACAAAGTCTTGATGTGGAGGCTGCTGAAGCTCTCCAGGCCGGACCTGCCTCTCCTCGTTGCCGCCTTCTTCTTCCTTGTCCTTGCTGTTTTGGGTGAGTCAGGAGAGGACGTTGTGAGTTGGAGGTGGTAAAAGGGCCTGCGCACCAGCACATTCTTGTGTTATTTTTCATGCCTCTTTCAGGTGAGACATTAATCCCTCACTATTCTGGTCGTGTGATTGACATCCTGGGAGGTGATTTTGACCCCCATGCCTTTGCCAGTGCCATCTTCTTCATGTGCCTCTTCTCCTTTGGCAGGTAGGTAGTGGGCAGCTGGGTCCATTTGCTAGCCCCAAATCTTTATAGGGGTCTTCACTTCCCTAACTCCATTTCTAGGCCCTTTCAGGCGCAAAACACAAAAATACTTAAACTAAAATATGGTGAATGTAGTCACCATTCTGTTTCATCTATCCATTCATTTCTTCCTTCGTTCATATTCATCCAATATCTTCAAAGTTTATCTGATCTTATTATAGGAACAAGTTATGAGTGAAGGTAGTACAAAAGGAATTTAAGTCTCAGATGGAATGTCTCTCAGTTGTCTCTCAACATTCCTAGGTCCATGAAATTCCATTTCTTTCTGCCTCCTACCTCCTACCCCTAAGTCTGTCTCCAAAGTATCTCTCCAGGGTCACTCCCTCAGGATGGGTATGCTTCTCCCTTTCACTCTTCTTTCCCAGCTCATCTTGCCAGTCCCTGAAGATCTTACTCTGAGGCTTATCACCTTTCTTTCCAGAATCATTACTCTTTTCCCTTCACTTGCTTTCCTTTCTCTTTCTAGACATACTCAAACAAACAAACTGTTTGATAAGGCTGGGACTGGGATGAGGTGAGCGAGGCACCTGGGGTGCAAAGTTTAAGGAGGTGTGCACTCACCTTACCCAAATCCCAGCCGGCCTGATTGTCTCTATTTTTATGGTCATACTTAATTTAGAGTACCCTCGAAAACCATTTCATTGTGCCTTCATTCCATCCTGGCTGCTTTCTGCTGAAACTACAGTCGTGCACTGCATAACGAAGTTTAGGTCAATGATGGGCCACATATAAGATGGTGGACCCACAAGATTATAATACCATATTTTTACTGTACCTTTTCTATGTTTAGATACACAAATACTTACTTCTGTGTTACAGTCGCCCACAGTGTTAGGTGCAGTTATATGTTGTACAGATTTGTAGCCTAGGAGCAATAGGCTAAACTACATGGCCTAGGTGTGCAGTAGGCTATGACATCTAGGTTTGTGTAAGTACACTCTATGATGTTCATACAACGATGAAACCATCTAACGACACATTTCTCAGAACACATCCCTGTCATTAAAGTACAAACCCTCATTATATCATGTCTGACTATTCCAAACGCCTCTTCAATATGGTAACTAAATTTGTATTAGAAACATATATTTTGTAAAATACATGCTTTTATGCTTTATATTTTTTCCTCTAAGTGTTACTGTAGCATGTAGTTGGTCTAAGAGGGATTTTCCAACTCGAAGGATGAAAGATGGGAATCACATGACTCTGGGGCTCCAGAGAATTGTGGGGGCAGGGAATTTATTATTGCAGTTCCCATGATGAAGTATCTATGATGACAGAGAAGGGCTTTGGGTATGGGGCAGGAAGGAGACCAAGGCGGAGGAGACGCACAGAGGGACAAGCCTGAGGGACGCTGGGACAGAAGCAAGCACTGGGATACTTGTTTTCACAATATCTTTTCCCTTCTATTGTAGTCTTCTATTGTGTCTAGTACAGAGTGCACTCCATAAATACTTGTAAATTTGTACATGTTATGATTTTGTTCTCACATCTAGCTCACCATGTCTCCTCTTTCTTCTTCCTCTGTGTATTCCTTACCTCTTCTCTCTCTGTGTGTCTGTCTCTCATTTCTTTCTCTTTTGCCCCTCCTGGCATGCTTTCCCCTGACTTTGCGCTTCTCTGCACTCCTGGCTTGCTCCTCTGTTTCACCCGCTGGCTTGCTCCTTCTCTGCATCTCCCTCCCCTCTTATTCTCCTACCCCACAGCTCACTGTCTGCAGGCTGCCGAGGAGGCTGCTTCACCTACACCATGTCTCGAATCAACTTGCGGATCCGGGAGCAGCTTTTCTCCTCCCTGCTGCGCCAGGACCTCGGTTTCTTCCAGGAGACTAAGACAGGTGGGGCCTGGAGTCCAGGTCTGAGATTCCCATGGACATCCCTTGCCCCTCAGTGACCTTCCACCCACAGCCTCTCCTCCTGCCTTCACCCGTATGCCAGGACTTGGGGATGCTTTTCTCTTGTTTGGGACAGGGTGGAGAAGCAGCCTCCACTGTCCCTCTGCAAGTGAAGGAGGATGTTCAGAGGAGGGGGCTGTGTCAGAGGGAACGGTCAGGAGGGAGTTTCTGGGGGCCCTGCAGTACACATGGTTTCCTTTTTCCTCACCTGCTCTGTCCTTCTTAGGGGAGCTGAACTCACGGCTGAGCTCGGATACCACCCTGATGAGTAACTGGCTTCCTTTAAATGCCAATGTGCTCTTGCGAAGCCTGGTGAAAGTGGTGGGGCTGTATGGCTTCATGCTCAGCATATCGCCTCGACTCACCCTCCTTTCTCTGCTGCACATGCCCTTCACAATAGCAGCGGAGAAGGTGTACAACACCCGCCATCAGGTGAGCGTGCATGTAAGGGAACCCCAAAGGGAGAATAAAACTGACAGGTGAGGAGGCTTCCACATTTGTGGCTAGAGGATCCCCTAGAGAGAGATGTTCTCTTCTCAGCCATTAGGGGAGAAGGTATATTGTAGTATATACTACATTTTGTTTGTCCAGCCATCCAACAATGGATATTTGACTTCAGAAGATTCATGATTCTCCAGAACTGTAAACAAAAATGTAAAGTGTATGTGAAGGTATGGGGGAGGGAATAGGAAGGGGAGATGATAGGCGATGATAACTTTTCATTAGCTTCTCAAAGGAGTCTGTACATCCCCCGCCCCCACTGCGAAGATTAAAAATGGTTTCTTAGAGGCTTTTAGGCAGGGAGATTTTCCCTTTAAAATCAGCAGAAGAAGTCTGGATGCAGCATAGGGAAAGGAGGCGTCATCAGGAAGTCCTAAGTCTGAATGTCAGCTCCACCTTCTCTTTTTCTCTTATATTGTGGTAAAACATACATAACATAAAATTTACCATTTCAACCATTTGAAGTGTACAGTTCAGTGACATTTAGGAAACCCACATTGTTATTGGGTAACCATCATCACCATCCATCTCCAGAACTTTTTTCATCTTCCTAAAATGAAACTCTGTACCCACTAAATAGTAACTGCCTACTACCCCCAACCCCTGGCCGCTGGCAACCTCCATTGTACCTTCTGTCTCCATGAATTGTGATGACTCCCGGTGCGGTACGTAAGTGGAACCATACAGTATTTGTCTTTTTGTGACTGGCATATTTTACTTAGCGTAATGTCTTCAGGCCTCATCCATATTGTAGCATGTGTTAGAATTTCCTCCCTTTTAAGGCTGAATAATATTCTGTTGTGTGCATATATCACATTTTGATTATCCATTCATCTGTCAATGGACATTTGCGTTGTTTCCACCTTTTGGCTGTTGTGAATTATGCTGCTGTGGACATGAGTGTACACCTGTTTGAAACCCTGCTTTTGGTTCTTTTGGGTATATACTTAGAAGTGGAGCTGCTGGATCATATGGCAATTCTATTTAACAATTTTTGAGGAACCATGTATTAGTCCATTTTTACGCTGCTGATAAAGACATACCCAAGATTGGGCAATTTACAAAAGAAAGAGGTTTATTGGACTTACAGTTCCATGTGGCTGGGAAGACCTCAAATCATGGCGGAAGGTGAAAGACACATTTCACATGGCAGCAGACAAGAGAAAAGACAGCTTGTGCAGGGGAATTCCCCTTTTTAAAACCATTATATCTCGTGAGACTTATTCAATATCACAAGAACAGCATGGGAAAGACTTGCCCTCATGATTCAATTACCTCCTACCCAGTCCCTCCCACAACACATGGGAATTCAAGATCAGATATGGGTAGGGACACAGCCAGATCGTATCAAACCACCATACAGTTTTCCATAGCGGCAGCACCATTTTAAATTCCCACCAGCAGTGCATAAGGTTTCCAATTTCTCCACATCCTCATCAACACCACTTTCTGTTGTCTTTTTTTTTAATAGCCATTCTAATGGTGATTAGGTGATTAGGATTATCTCATTGTGGTTTTGATTTGCATTTCCCTAATGATTAGTAAATATTGAGCATCTTTTCGTGTGATTTTGGCCACTTATGTTTCTTTCTTGAAAGAATGTCTGCAAGTTCTTTGCCCATTTTCTGATTTTTTTTTAAGTTGTGGGAGTTCACTATATGTTTTGCCTATTAATTTCCTATCAGATATATGATTCACAAATATTTTCTTGTATTTCATGGTTGCTTTTTCACTCTGTTGCTAGAGTTCTTTGATGCACAAACGTTTTAAATTCTGATGAAGTCTGATTTATCTATTTTTTGTTGCCTGTGCGTTTGGTGTTATATCCAAGAAATCACTGCCAAATCTAGTGGCATGAGGCTTTTCTTCTACATTTTCCTAGGAGTTTTATAGTGTTAGCTCTTATGTTTAGGCCTCTGATCCATTTGGAATTACATCTCCACCTTTCTTAACTATCTGTGGCTCCTTGGGAAAACTACCCTTCTTTCCTAATTCAGACACTGGGGATGGGAAAATTACCTCAAATGAAGGTTAAAAAAATTGCATGTATCTCCTATACTACCTAACACTGAGAGCTCAATAATATTTTGTTCCCTTGCTCCTTCACTCTTATTCCTTCTGGAAAGAAGAGTAAGGAAGAGGGAGAGAAACAGTTTGGTATTTTTAGGTAGACTAGGGAGCATCTCACTGGCTGGAGTAAGATGTGGGGGCCTGCTGTCTTTGCACATCAGCCCTGGTGTTTGCTGGCCCTCTTTTCCAGGAAGTGCTTCGGGAGATCCAGGATGCAGTGGCCAGGGCGGGGCAGGTGGTGCGGGAAGCCGTTGGAGGGCTGCAGACCGTTCGCAGTTTTGGGGCCGAGGAGCATGAAGTCTGTCGCTATAAAGAGGCCCTTGAACAATGTCGGCAGCTGTATTGGCGGAGAGACCTGGAACGCGCCTTGTACCTGCTCGTAAGGAGGGTAAGATACCAGAGTGGTTGTGAAAGGAGCCCAGGAAAGGGGGAGGGCAAGGGAAGAGGAAACTACAGCTGGTTCTAGAGGCCTTTGCAGCTCAGTCTCATAGAGGCAGAGAGGGGGAAAGAATGGGAAGATTCCCAGCCTCATCTCTTTCTTCTCCTCTTCCAGGTGCTGCACTTGGGGGTGCAGATGCTGATGCTGAGCTGTGGGCTGCAGCAGATGCAGGATGGGGAGCTCACCCAGGGCAGCCTGCTTTCCTTTATGATCTACCAGGAGAGCGTGGGGAGCTATGTGCAGGTGAGCGAGAAGCCAAGCCTGCTCTCCTTTTTTCCCTCTCTTTTTCTTTGTGGACTCCTGGGCCTTGGGCTTTATTTGTTCTTTTTAACAATACAATACAAAACCAAAACCCGCAAGTAATTTTGCTATGGAGAATTTTAAACATATGCCAAAAATGAGACAAAATAATATTACAAACTCACATGTATACATCCTGTGCTTTAACAATGATCAACTCATGCCCAATCTTGTTGGATCTGTATCCCCAGCCACTTCCCCCCACCCATATTATTCTGAAGCAAATCCAAGATATTGTATACTTTCATCTGTAAATATTTCAGTATGTTTCTTAAAAATACAAACATCTTTAAAAGTGTATAACAACAAAGCCATTATCACACCAAAAAATTAACAGTAGTTCTTAAAATTTATCAAATAGTCAATTGTCAAATTTCCACTTGTGGTATCCATGTAGTATATGTGTATGAGTGTGTTTATTATACTTTGCTTAAATCAGGATCCAGAAATGGTCCACATATTGTGACTGGTTGATACATCTTTTAAGTCTGTCTGTCTATCTATCTATCCATCCATCTATCCATCCATCCACCCATCAATCCATGTATCTGTCTAAAAGTTTCCCTTGCACAGTTTATTTGTTGAAGAAATAGGTTGTTTGTCCTGTGGAGTTTCTTAGGGTCTGGATTTTGTTGACTGAATCCCTGTGGTATTATATGCTCTTCTGCCTCTGTACTTCCTGTCTATTGATAGATAAACCTAGAAGCTTGTGAGATTGAGGGGTTTTTTTTGGTCTTTTTCCAGCAACAGTACTTTTTAGGTGGTGATGCATTCTTCCTCCAAGAGGCACACAATGTCTGGTTCTCTATTTGTGGCAACATCAGCCACTGATGAGCAGTACCTACATCCATGACAGAATTAGGGCTGCAAAAGGGAGATACTCTATCATTCTTCATGTATTAGCTGAAGTAGTCTATGAAGGGAGACTTCCCCTCATCTACCATTTCATTACCCGGTGGTACAGTTTGATGAGGAAAGGCAGAGTGAGCATTTAGATCTCTTCCTACATTTACCAGTTCTCAAAAACAGCTACTTCATCCAGGGCTTTATTTAAACATTTTCCTAGACACTTGATAAACATCTTTTTTGTGTAGAGAACTGCGCTGGGCACTCTGACGGCTACAAAGGTGAGTTGGGCACAGTGCCTGCATTTAAGGAGCTCCCCGTCTAATCAAGCAAGACAGAACTGGGCACAAGTAATAGGAAGCAGTAACTGAAAAGATCTGGGGCTAGAGGCAATGCTGTATGGTAGGAGAAGGGACTGTATATCCTTTATATTGCAAATTGGAACACTGGGGTATTGGTGCCACTTTTAAATTCCGTCCAAATTGTACATTTAAAAGTGGAGAATCTCTTTTGAGTATGGAGGAGGAGCAGTGCAGTTGTGAGTGGAGTGTGTGAGGAGTTGGGAGGGTGGTTTCTGGTAGAAGTGTGTTTAATTAGCCGGCTCTCCCATTCCTGTTTTCCAGACCCTGGTATACATATATGGGGATATGCTCAGCAACGTGGGAGCTGCAGAGAAGGTTTTCTCCTACATGGACCGACAGCCAAATCTGCCTTCACCTGGCACGCTTGCCCCCACCACTCTGCAGGGGGTTGTGAAATTCCAAGACGTCTCCTTTGCATATCCCAATCGCCCTGACAGGCCTGTGCTCAAGGTGCCTGAAAGAGGGAGGAAACCTGGACCCTTGCTCTCTGCTGCTAATGCATAATTGGACATCACAGCCTATAGTTCATTTGCCTCTGAGAACCTGGTCTTGCCTCTGCTAAGAAGAGAAATGGAGGGATTTTGAGGGAGAAGGGGCAGGCCCTTAACTCTTTTTCTGGTTTTCTAGGGGCTGACGTTTACCCTACGTCCTGGTGAGGTGACGGCGCTGGTGGGACCCAATGGGTCTGGGAAGAGCACAGTGGCTGCCCTGCTGCAGAATCTGTACCAGCCCACAGGGGGACAGGTGCTGCTGGATGAAAAGCCCATCTCACAGTATGAACACTGCTACCTGCACAGCCAGGTGGGTGAGGAGGGAGAAGACAGGGGACAGGAGAGGGGAGCATGTACAGAGAGAGGATGGGAGATCCACGGGAAGGCGCACCAGGTGTTCATTCTGAGGGAGGTAGGTGGGGAGGACAAAAGGGCCCCTGCCTTGGGGGTTTACACATAGTCCTCTGCCCCTGTCCCCGCTGCACAGGTGGTTTCAGTTGGGCAGGAGCCTGTGCTGTTCTCCGGTTCTGTGAGGAACAACATTGCTTATGGGCTGCAGAGCTGCGAAGATGATAAGGTGATGGCGGCTGCCCAGGCTGCCCACGCAGATGACTTCATCCAGGAAATGGAGCATGGAATATACACAGGTATCTTCTACAAATTGTAAGCCTGCTCCTTCAGTAAAAAAGAGAAAATCAGACTTACTCTTAGTGGTGAAGGTCGTGTCCCTGTAACTTGATGTTTGCTGTTCCTCTGCCCTTTCCTCCATTCCTACGTCTCCTTCCCCACACACTGAATTCTTCAGCCTCCCTCTTGCTCAAGAGTCTTTGTTTGCAGAGAGCAATGCAGCAGTGGTGCTCCCTCCATGGGCAGCCCCGTCAGGTCCCCACCCCATGGCCCTCCTCCCACTGGGCCCTCCCCGCACTGGGCCCTCCCACCTCCCGAGGTCCTACTGGAAGTACCTGCTGTGCACTTGTCCCTCCTTGTGTGTTATCTGTGTCACTTGTATCTGAGGAAGGGAATTTCTCTGATTTCCTCAGATGTAGGGGAGAAGGGGAGCCAGCTGGCTGCGGGACAGAAACAACGTCTGGCCATTGCCCGGGCCCTTGTACGAGACCCGCGGGTCCTCATCCTGGATGAGGCTACTAGTGCCCTAGATGTGCAGTGCGAGCAGGCCGTGAGTACTGTGAGAGGGCAGGGGACAGTGGGGCCTGGGAGGGGCATGCTGGGAGGATCAGCCTGTGTAGAATTGGGCAGAGGGAGGACGAAGGACCTACTAGTAGAAACAGTCTGTGCCTTCTTGGGGTTGGGGAATGGAATCCGGTGGTGTGAGGGCAGCCCCAGTTCCCTCCTGGGCTTCCATTCCTCCAGCTGTGGCAGTACAGCTGGGAGAGAAGGGCAGTCCAGGCCTTTATCTACTGCCCTTTCCTACCTTCTTTTATTTCACACCTTCTTTACCCTAAATCATAAGAGATGGTGCCCAGGTGGATGTGGTGTCCATCTCATTCCTGTCTTTCTGAGGCACTGTGATCACCCCTTCAGCTGCAGGACTGGAATTCCCGTGGGGATCGCACAGTGCTGGTGATTGCTCACAGGCTGCAGGCAGTTCAGCGCGCCCACCAGATCCTGGTGCTCCAGGAGGGCAAGCTGCAGAAGCTTGCCCAGCTCCAGGAGGGACAGGACCTCTATTCCCGCCTGGTTCAGCAGCGGCTGATGGACTGAGGCCCCAGGGATACTGGGCCCTCTTCTCAGGGGCGTCTCCAGGACCCAGAGCTGTTCCTGCTTTGAGTTTCCCTAGAGCTGTGCGGCCAGATAGCTGTTCCTGAGTTGCAAGCACGATGGAGATTTGGACACTGTGTGCTTTTGGTGGGGTGGAGAGGTGGGGTGGGGTGGGGTGTGGTGGGGTGGAGGCTGTCTGTGTCCAGGAAACTTAATTCCCTGGTGACTAGAGCTTTGCCTGGTGATGAGGAGTATTTTGTGGCATAATACATATATTTTAAAATATTTTCCTTCTTACGTGAACTGTATACATTCATATAGAAAATTTAGACAATATAAAAAAGTACAAAGAAGAAAAGTAAAAGTACCCATTGTTTCACTTCCTGGAGATAACCATAGTTGCTATTTTGCTGCCTGTTCCATCAGTCGTTTATCTGTTGTTTGAGATAGAAATTAACCAAAAATGACATAAATATTCATGAGATTGCCTTCCTATATCCCTCCTTGTTCCTACCAGTGTCTGCTATTTTGAAGAAGCTAGGGTCTGGAGGGACAGAGAACAGTTCCCTGATTAACAGTATTAATAATGACATTGGTAACAGCTACCATTTATAGAGTTTTAATGTGAGTAGGAGCTATGCTAAGTGTTTTTCATGTATTATCGTTTTTAATCATTATCTCCAACCCTATGAGGTTGGTTATTATCCCCATTTTACAGATGAGGAAACTGAAGCTCAAAGAGGCTCAATGACTTTCCCAAGGTGGTCGTAGTGGTGGAGTTGGAGTTTGAACACAGGCCTGACCCTAGAGTCCACACCCTGACCCAATCAATTATATTGCATCTTGGGTCCATAAACCCTAATCCATAATCCCATCAAGAAAAGCTCTGCTGCTCTTAGCTCTAAATAATTCAGAATCTATTCTCTTCTCTCCAGTCCCGTTGTTATAGTCTTCACTCATAGACAGCCCATCTGTCTCACCCTCTCCTGTTGTATCCAGCTCCACGACAAACTTCTGCCTTCCCCAACACCTTTGTGCCTTTGCATATGGTGTTTTCTTGCCCATTTTCTGCTCGACTCGCCCCTGATTTTCAAGTTCAAGACTTAACTCAGGGTTCAGGTCTTCCAGGAGGCCTTACTTATGTCGTCAGTCTGGGGAACTCTCCATGTGCTTCTATCACTGTGCGGTTACCTCTTTCACAGCCCTTTTAAAGTTCTATCTTCCCTTTCCCACCTTTTTTGACCTTCCACTAGACCATGAGCACCTGGGCGGAAAGCCATATATCTTATTAAGCTTTATATCTGCTACCTGGCCGAGGGCCTAATTCATAGTGGAGAATAAATAGTCAATTGAATAAATGAATAAATATCTCCACCATCGTACTAATCTTAATCCTCCCTGCCCACTCCCACCACTGAAAATGCAACATTGTACACATCACTGGTTGTTGGGAGGGACTTACCTTGGAAAGTTGCTATTCTAGGAAAGAGAAACCTTCATATTCCTGGAAACAGCAGGTAGTTTCCAGTGCTGGCAATGAATTCCCCAGAACTGCTGTTTTGGATTTTTTCTTGCCTGGCAGCTGTTGGGAGCAGGGTGCAGTGAGGATGGGGTGAGAGTGGGCAGTTTCTTGTGCAGATTTGCCTTTCTTTCATCCTGGGGCTGACTTGCAGCTCCACACCCATCCATCTCTCAAATTTCACAGAGGGTAAAATAGGCATTTGGAGAGAAAGAACTCTGGCCTGATTCCTTTCTCTCCCACAAATGTCCTTTATTCATAAAACAGGAATAGTAATTCCTGTATCTCCCAACTACATGGAAGCTGCAGCCCTCACAGAAGAAGATGATCTGAGAAATTCTTTGATTTCCTCAGTACAGTTATACCCATGCATCATAATACTTTAAGCCTGGAAGGCATCTTAAAAATAATGCAACAGTCAAACCTAATTTTACAGAGAAACTGACATGAAATCACGCAGCTAATCATGATAAAGCTGGGTGGAAAACTTATCTTGATGGGCAGTACAGGAAGATGCAGTAGACCTTAAGATGTCCTGAAAGTTTCTTATCTCAGGGGAAACTCCCAGGTAGGCTTTATGTCAGGGACACAGAAAAATGCTCCCTGAAAGTCAAAATATTCGGGCTAGACAGACAAATTCCTGTAAGTGTGGTTTGTCTGGGAACCACAGATGTCACTAATCCTGGTTTGCTCCAGAGTTCTTTTTGTTCACTCCTACCCCCCATCACCATTTGATTGATCTCCTTACCCTGTAATTTCCCCTTCTTGTCGCTTACCTGCAGTATCTTTCCCACCCAGGCATGCCTTATTCTTTCTAAAGGAAAGTATGAATGGAGAGGGGAAAGCTTGGGAAACTGATAGATTTCCTTGGATGCCAAAACACCTCCATAGCCTGTCTGCCCGGCCCTATGTGGAAACAGCATTGAGTTTCAAGTCCTTTATGCCTCCACCCAGGGATAGCCACTTGGAATCCACATGGCAATTGTGAAACAAGCAGGAAATGCGTAATTGTCAGAATTTTGTGGGGAAAGGACTAGGGAATAAGGAAAACAAAGATCTTCCTTGTGTTTTAGAGCTGTCAGCTAGAGGAGCACCTGCTTGAGTCTGATGCCATCTAATGGTCCCAGAAGAAACTGGGTTTTGAACCTAGAGTTCCATGGACTCTTAGGAATTAGACTACTACTACTACTAAGCATTCACTGGTGCTTACTATGTGCTATTGCTGTGCCAAGTATCTGAAACCTGTCTTCTTACCTTATTTTTCAAGATAATTCTATGTGGCAGGTATTACTATCTCAATTCTAAGAGTGAGAAAATGGAGTTTTAGAAACATTTACTAACTTGCCTGGGTCACATAGCTAAGGAAGAGGTGGACTTGCCCAGCTTTGCATAAAACTCCTCAAAAGAGTTGCCTATACTCCCTGATTCCACTTATCTTCCTACTATCCTCTTTTTAAAATATATTATTTATTTATTTAAATAAGCAATATATGAATGTGGTTTGAAATTCAAAAGACACAAAGAAGTATACAGAGGAAAGCCTCACTCTCAATCCTTCTCAAGGTTTGCTAATTCCTCTTGCATAGGCAATCCGTTCTTCCAGCTTTGTGTTTATCTTTCCAGAGAAGTTTACTGTGTATTAAGCAAATATGTATATCTTTATTCTTGCTCAGTATTTTCGCAAACAGCAGCTGTCTAAGTTCACTGTTCTGAACTTTATTTTTTAAATTAAAAATATATGGCTATGTAGTATTCTATTTTATGGAAGTTCCATATTTCATTTATCCTGTTTCCTTCTACTGATGGCTAGTTAGGTTATTGGAAGTCTTTTGCTGTTGCTAGTTAGTCTTGTATAGACA
This sequence comes from Homo sapiens, assembly GCF_000001405.40. Classification (NCBI taxonomy): domain Eukaryota; kingdom Metazoa; phylum Chordata; class Mammalia; order Primates; family Hominidae; genus Homo; species Homo sapiens. The sequence goes on along the minus strand of NT_167244.2, from coordinate 4,130,345 downwards.
TTGTAATGCACATGTGCAAAAATACAAGTATGATACAATCTTAAAGGGGAGTTGCTGAGTCCAATATATACATTACAAATATTGATAGATATTGCAAAATTGCCTTCATAGAGGCTATATTAATTTATAGTTCCAGCAGCAACATATGAGTTTATCTGTTTCTCCATATATATATATATATATATATATATATATATATATATATCCAACAGACAGTGTTAATTTTTAAAATTTTGACAATCTTCTGGGTGAAAGTAGCATTGTATTGTAGTTATCATTTGCTTTTTAATATTATCATGTAAGTAACAGAGATACTAAACCCAGAAGGATAAGGGAGCAAAGATGAGAAAAATAAACACACACACAAACAACAATAACAAATCTGTCTAAAATATTGGAAAATCAGAATGAGAAATGAAATATGACTGTAACGATAAAAATCAGTAATGAAAATGACTATTAAATTTAAAAATAAGGCAGAGCAACCACAAGTGACATGAGAATGAGGCAGACAAAGTTAAAGCACCTAAAGTCTTTGTCTTGTTTGAAAGGAGGGTAGAGATATTGATTACCTTCAGATGCTGCCACATTTGGTAAACATGTTAAAAATATAAGACTGACTTTTAACTAATATAATTAGAATTTAAAATTCCTAAATCAGTAAGGGGAAATTAAATAATACTTTAAATAAAAATGTAATTGATTTAATATAAGTGATGCAAGGAAAACAAAAGAAGCAAAGTAAGACATAGCAAATACAGAGCACCATATATTGTAACAGAAACGAATGTAAATAGCACAGTGATCACAAGTATAAATAGCTTAAATATGGGAGTTAAAGGAAAGTTCTCAGATTAGATTAACAATATCGCAAAATCCAGTTATATGCCCTTCATAAGATCACAAGAAACCTAAAAACATGAAAATGTTAAATCAAAACCAGATATAAGATACACAAAGCAAACACTAACAGAAGACAGAAAGACAGCTTATGTAATTACAGAAATATCTAAACATATAGTCTAAAACCAAAGGCATTAGTAAAAACAAAGACAGCCATTACATAGTGATAATGAAGTCACCAGAACATTATACTAAAACTGAATCAGTTTGCACCTAGCAATAAAACTACAAAATATGTAAGAAATATAGGAGAATTATAGGAAGAAATTAATTGAGAAATTGAAACACATTTCTCAATGATTATAGAATAAGTGGAAAAATGAATAAGGATATCAAATAAGCCTGTTGATGTTCTTGTCTGTAACATCTAGGAATCAAAATATATTCTTTAAAACTAATAAATCAAGTGCTCGTATTTACACATTTAAGACTACAAAGGTAGACACACACACAGAAAGAGGAAGGGAGAGGATATGAGCTAGTTTTGTGATTGTTCATTATTTAAAACTAATAGGAATTATCTAAAGGAAGAGGGAACTAAGTGTATTATATACAAATAAACTTATCAAAGCAACCTTGAAATATACACCTTCCTTAATATCTGAAAAGGTAAAATTTTTAAAATGCACAATAAAGACATAGTGAAAGATTTTTAAAAATACTCATGTAAACATTATACTTAACAGAAGTTAATATCTCTGAATTAGACTGAATCTATTTGCTGTATGAATAATTATAAATGGGCTTCTTAACTGAACTAAATAAATGAAAATATTTTTAAATTAGATTAAGATAAAAACTCTATTATTTGCAATATGCAAAAGACACCTAACATAAAGCCACTCAGAAAGATGTATTCATTATTTTCAACAAATAAGATGATGGGCAAAGACATAACAAGAGAATGCAAACAAAAGGGAAGCAGAGGTCACATTCGTCTTACCAAACAAGATGAAATTCAGACACTCCTCACCAAAAAAAAAAAAAAAAAAAAAAAAAATTGAGTGTGACAAGAAGGGCACTTTATAATGTAAAGTATAAAATTCATATGAATATATGAGACATGTGTTTAAGTTCTAAATACCAAATAGGTAGCTCTTATAAAGCAGAAATTAAGGTAGATACAAGGAAAATATTCAGAAATGTACTACCAATAGAACACTTTAATTCCCTTTCCCTGGACTAGACCAGTTAAGTGGACAAAAAAATAGGCTGGGCCTGGTGATTCATGCCTGTAATCTCAGCACTTTGGTAGGCCAAGGCGGGCGGATCACCTGAGGTCAGGATTTCGAGGGCAGCCTGGCCAACATGGTGAAACCCTGTCTCTACCAAAAATACAAAAATTAGCTGGGTGTGGTGGTGGGCGCCTGTAATCCCAGCTACTTGGGAGGCCGAGGCAGGAGAATTGCTTGAATCTGGGAGGCAAAGGTTGTAGCGAGCCAAGATCGCACCACTGCACTCCAGCCTGGGCGGCACAGTGAGACTCTGCCTCAAAAAAAAAAAAAAAAAAAGTATGAACACAGAAGATAGAAGATATTACTATCAATAAAAAAATAGATATGCTACATCTATATCAAACTTTTAAAATTGAAAATAGAGGCCGGGTGCAGTGGCTCACACCTATAATCCCAGCACTTTGGGAGGCCTAAGCAGTCGGATTGCTTGAACTCAGGAGCTCAAGACCAGTGTGGGCAACAGCGAAAACCCGTCTCTACAAAAAATACAAAAATTAGCCAGATGTGGTGGCTCGTGCCTGTGGTTTCAACTACTTGGCTGAGGTGGGAGGATCGCTTGGGCCCAGTTCAAGGCTGCAGTGAGCTATGATTGTGCCACTGCACTCCAGCCTGGGCAACAGAGTGAGGCCTTGTCTCTAAAACAAACAAACAAACAAACAAAAATTAAATGGCTCAATGGCATAGAAGAAAATTTTTTTATGAAGCAAGTATAATATTGATGTTAAACTATGACAATGCACAAATATAAAAATTGTAGATGAATTTACTTATTATACTGACACAAAAATCCTAAATAAAACATTCCAAACAGATTCTAGCACAGATTAAAAAACACCCATTAAGATCAAGGGGTTTTTTTTGTTTTTTTTTTCTAGAAAACCCTTTGGAAGTTCATGATATTTTGAATTTCAATGGATATTTCCTGGGAATAATGAGTTCAAATGAACGAATATGTGGAACAAAGCATCACCAACATTTATTTTTTCAGGATGAGGTGATGGACAAAACCATCACAGGGAAATTGAGGCAAATAGTACATGTAAAACAATACTTCGGGTGAGTCCACCTATCCCAAAGTCGTATCAAAGAAGTGGCTGCAGATTGGAGCCCAAAGCCTTTGGTTCCTCAGTTTCCAAATGGATTCTCACTAGGTGGGATCATGAGTTTGCTTTGGACACCCCAAATTCTAACTATTTCTTTTGTTTCTTACATCCTTTCCCTCTTCCCCAGCCCCTTCCCCTCATGTTACACCTCTTGCTGGTTTGAGACGTCAATCACCACTGAGAAAGAATTAAACCAGTATTTTGAGCTGGCAAAATTCTTAGCCTAGTACAATTCCTTCAATTAAACTGTAGCTCAACAATGTGTTCTCTAAAAGTATGATTTAATATTCTACCTAGAAACTCAGAATATTTTTCATAACTCCTCCAGGGCAGTGTGGATTATGTTGATGTGTTAGGAGGAAGTAGAAGGAAGAAAATGAATTGAGACGTACGTTTTACTTCCATGTCAAAGTCACCAAAATAGCAGTTGAAGGGATATTTGTGTCAGGCAATAGGGAGAATAATAATTTTATGCCACCTTCAAAAAACAACCACACATACACCCAAATTCTCTCACTCCTCAGAGAAAGGGGAAGGAAAGAAAAGAGAGAAGCAAAATATGAGCTTGAGTGAAAAATCACAGAGGAGCCTGTAGCTATTTAGGGAGGGCTGCTGGCTGAAGTCAGGCAGGAAAAAAAGATCAAAACACCCTGCCCTATTTTTCAGGCTCGTTCAAGTAGAAGACAAAAACATAAATACAGGAGAAAGGAAGAAAACCACATCTTTTTCCTCTTGTCTCCCCAGAACTGAACAGTGTCTCTGATAAGCCCAGGCCCTTCTATCGTAGACACTGACACTATGCACAGAAAATGACTCAAAAACGCTTCTAATGGGGGTGAATCTGATGCTTCAGTTTATTTAAGATGTACCAGAGGCCATCTAAGGAGATCCATAGCTTGCTAACTGAAGCTTATTGCTTTCTCTTCTTAGTTCCCATGCCAGGCTCTATGCCATTCCTTGCTTGTCATGTGAGATCACTGATTTCCTTTGGTTAGGTAGGATATGATTTCCTTACAGAGATCTGTCCTGACACCAAACAGCTATGATGAAATTCCTTGGTTATTTTCCCTTTTTGTGTACCTTATCATTACCGGAATGCTAAAGCTGTAGGAATAAAGTTTCCCTGGCTTCCCAAGAAATACAGTGTGACAGAAAAAGTACAGCCTAGGGACTTACTAGTTATGTGAACTTTGGTTCATTCCATCCTTACCTCATCTGTAAAAGGGAGATCATGATAGTATCTACTGCAAAGGGTTTTGTGTGATGATTCTCTCTCTCTCATACACACACACGCACACATTTATATAATGCTTAGAAAATGAACTCATAATAAGCAATTGACAAACATTAGCTATTATTATGTAGGCAAGTCAGATTTTAGAGTTTGTGAGCCTTAGACACATTTACAGAGAAGAAAGAGCAGCCCTCCTAACTTTCTGGTCCAGCGCCATATCCTCCACTTCCTCCCCATCCCCACATCCCTTGCCATTTATCAACCCCCTCTCTCCTCTAAATCTAAATACAGGCCCCCGTTTGATCCATATTGTCTAGGCCCTTCCTCTCCTCTCCACATGGCCCTTCCTTCAGCTCTGAGGGAAGCTGCAGAAGCCAGCCATGGTGCTGTCTACAAAGAAGGGGACACACGCCTCTTCCACCCGCTCATGCTGTTACTGCATCTGATCATCTCCGTGCCGTGTCCTTGTTCACTTAGCCTGTGTTGAGTGTTTGTCTCCATTTCCAAATGCAATAAAACATCTGGGAAAGACTAAGGTAGGTGTGGGCAGGAAGAAGGGAGGAAGTTAGACCCAGTGGCTTGAGTGCCCTCTGATGCCTCCTTATCCTCGGCTCCACACAAGCCCTCGCCAGTGTGAGCTCCACAGCCATCCACCTGGAGGAGGAGTACTCAAAACCAGGGTCAAATGCCTTGTACTCGGGGGTCTACCAGTAAGCCTGTGGCCAGCCTTCCACTTCATGAATCGTCACATTTACATGAGAGATGTGGAGGGAGAGGGGTCAGCCTCCTAGCTCCTGTCCTGTAGCAGTTAAGTCAAGTCAGGCCAGGCTGTGGTAACCAAGCCAGTACCTTCTTTAAAGAACAGTTGTTTCTCATTCATACAGAGTGTGTTGTAGGTGTGAGTGATTCCCTGGGGCAGCTGCTCTTCATGGTGACTCAGCTAATTAGACTGCTTTTCTACTGGGATTGTGCCATCTCAACACAAGGCTGTCTTGGTTGACTTGGTAGGGGAGGAGGAGAAGAGTCATGCACGAGGAGTTAAATTCTTTGACCAGGAACCTTTTGTTCACTTTCCATTGGTGAGAACGAGTCACACAGCTCCAGGAGAGTAGGAAGTCTAGTTTCTCGTTTTCCATGGGCCTAGGAATTAGAGGATGAACACTAGCGATGTCTTCCACGTCTTGCTCTCTTTTTCTTTACCTGTTATAATCTCCCATGGAGAAGAAATTATTTTTCTGATTGGTCTGATCCAGGCCTCTAACCAAGGGCATTTACTAAGGGTCATAGAACAGTAAAAGGTTGCACAATTGCATCTCACCTCTCTTTTCTGAATCCTGCTTAATTAAAACTTTAAAAACTCACTTACAGACCACTTCTTGCTCTTCTTAGTTATCAAATATATTTTCTTCCAACTCCTTTTTGACAGATCTTGCCTTGTTCTCAGCTGACTCCCTTGCAACCATCTAAATGGAACTTCCTCATTCCCCTTTATCCCCTGCTAATCGTCCTGTCTTTATTCTTTTATCTGAAGAAGTGTACCCTTCTTCCCCCAAGCCTTATGCTCTCTATCTTAGTCCATTTGTGTTATTGTAACAAGATACACGAGATAGGGTAATTTATGAAGAACAGAAATTTATTTCTCACAGTTCTGGAAGCTAGAAGTTCAAGGTCATGGCCCTGGAAGATTTGATGCCTTGGCCATCGACTTGAAAAAAGTCACTGAAGTGAACTTGTGGTTACCATGATACCCTGGGTTCATTCTTAACATGCACAGTATAGGCAAATCAGGGCCACATTTCATGCTGAAAGATGATGTGAAATGATGAGTAAACATTGCCCTTTAAATAATAATAACATAGATGGTGAATTACAATTTGCACTTTTGGTTTTATTTGCTTAAAGATAGTGTTTTACTGTCTAGGTTTTACTGAAAGAATACTTAACTAAACACTTGAGTCAAATCATTCCAGTGTAACAGTCCTCACAAGGAGGAAGGCAGAAGGGCAAAAGTGCCAAGCTATTGCCTCCAGCCCTTCTATTTTTATTGATTGACTGATTGATTGATTGAGACAGGGCCTCGTTCTGTTACCCATGCTGGAGTACAGTGGTGCATTCATGGTTCACTGCAACTTTGAACTTCTGGGCTCAAGTAGTCTTCCCACCTCAGCCTCCAAAGTAACTAAGACCACAGGTGCATGCCACCATGTTTATTTCTTTAATTTTTTAAATTTTATTTGGACATGGGGGTCTCACTATGTTTTCCAGGCAGGTCTCTAACTCCTAGCCTCAAGCAATCTTCCTCCTCAGCCTCCCAAAGTGCTGGGATTACAGGTATGAGCCATCATCCCTGCTCTCTCTAGCCCTTTTTAAAGTCTCTAATCCCATTCAGGAGGCCTCTGCATTCATGACTTAATCACCTCCTAAAGGGCCCACCTTTTGATACTATCACATTGGTGATTAAATTGCAACACTTGAATTTTGAGTGACATTCAGACCACAGCATTTTGGAGAAAATGTCCCCTTTCTTCTCTTTTTTCTCTTCAGTTTCTCCTTTCTACAGATACCTTGCACTTCACTTGCAACCTTGTTGAAGTCTCTCCTGTCTTAAAAGTTTCTTTTCCCAAAACACCAGAACTCATTCCTTCTGTCTAACTGTAACTTTGTACTTGTTACCAACCTCTACCCATTTCTACCCCTGACTCCCCAGCCTCTGGTAACTACTAACGTACTCTTTACTTCGATGAGGTCAACTTTTTTAGATTCCACATATGAGTGAAATCACGTAATATAGTCCTTCTGTTCTTGGCTTATTTCACTTAACATAGAGCCCTCCAGGTTCACCCATGTTGTTGAAAATGACAGGATTTCATGCTTTTTTATGGCGGAATAGTATTCCATCATGTATATATATCACATACTAATTACCCTGATTTGATCAATACACAATGTATAGGTGTGTTGGAACATCATGCTGTACCCCATAAATATGTACAATTATTACGTGTCAATTTAAAAAACCCAAGAAAAGTATTTTTTCTTAGTGTTGTTTTTTTCTAAAGTGTATCCCATTTTTTCCTTTGTTTTCACTTTCAAAATTCTTGAAAGACTGTTTTAATCTGCGGCCTTTGTTTTCTTGTTTCCAATTCATTCTTTTGAAATATGGCTTCTACCTTTAACACTCTGCTGTCCTCTTGAAGGTTATTGGTGCCCTACTAACCATAAAACACAATAATGCTCTCTTAGATTGTATCCTGGTGAGCCTTTTTGCAAAATTTTATTCTTTGAGAATTCTCTTTCCATGTTTTCTTTTCTTTTCTTTTTTTGTGGTCATTTTGGCTTATAGGAAATCGTACTCTCCAAATGTTCTCTATGTCTTCTATTTCTTCTCTGATAATCCCTTTACTAAATCTTCTTGAGGCATATGCTTCAGAATGCTTAATTTACATACTCTTAATTCCTTCTTAATTTACACACTGCCTGTCGGCAATGTCAACACCCAATAAGAAGGGAGACCTATTGGTCAGAACAGGCCAGGGAATAGAAGAATACATAATAAACAGTCTGCCTAGTTCTTCTAGGGCCCCATAATATGTCAAACATATATTTTTACTTCTTCTCCCAGCCCATTTTTAGTATACCTAAATTACTGTCAGTGATTCTGCAGGCAAACAATGGTTGAGTTGTATGACACAACTTTGTGAAAGTATCCTACCCAGTACCTGATGATGCAAAACTCTTCTATCTTGATTGGTTGTCAATCTGAGGAGTTTCCAATCCTGGGGAAGCCAGAAAAACAGCGATTTATACTCTTAATGGGTACTTTCTGACTGAATTTTATGAACTCATTCTGAAGAGGCTGACGATTTTACTGTCTCATTTTTTTCCTTTCTCCAGAATGGGTTCTGGGTGGGTCCCCTGGGTGGTGGCTCTGCTAGTGAATCTGACCCGACTGGATTCCTCCATGACTCAAGGCACAGACTCTCCAGGTAAGAACAGAGCAATTATTTTTTTCCAGTGTGTATGCAAGAATTGGCATGGGGGAGTGATGCCTTTCTTTGTAAGTCCAGGCCACAGACCAGACTGGAAGTGGCTTTTGGTTTCAAAGAACAGTGTTCTTCCCTTTGGCAGAAAGGTACGCCTTGCCTCTTTACATGGGATGGACTTCATATACCAGAGCCACCTATTCAAGGGGTAGGGAGGCAGGAAGAGGGAAACATTGTGTCTTGTTTAGGATCCTTATTGTGTGTATCAACCTCAGTCAGTGCCTGGGCGTGTTGAAGGCCTTGGCTTGGGTTCGAGCCTGCTGGGAGAAACAACCTGCAGTAGGCTGGGTCACAGAGGCAATCTGTGATTTTTTGGTCAGGACACGGAAACAAATCTCAGTTGGGGTATATGTGGACAAATGAAACTGGAAACAAAGGTTGCTCCTTCTGTCATTTATTAAGCCACTATTATATTGTCAGAATTGTACTAAACAGTTTTGAGAAGTAAGAGAAGTTGAATAGAATACATTGTCCTTGTCCTCCGGCTACCAGGTACAAGTTACTTGTAACTGTTATTTTTCTAGCACAGGTGACAGAATATGCAGCCATGAAGCAATGTGAGATGAAAGCACATATTAATGAGCAGAAACAGGATGTAATGTGCTAAGAACAGAATCCCCTTTGCATGTTAGTTTCATTAAATACAAAAGAGGAACAAACCTGGCCAGGAGAGATCATTATTCTTAGAGAATAGAAACCGCCCTGAGTTTATAATGTCCATTAAACAATACAACTGAAAAAAAAATCAGCACAGATGTTAAATGATGATGAAAAATTCAGATTTCCCCCCTGGTTTAGACTACTAGAGGAAATAGAGAAGAGTATACATGCTGAGAAATTACAGGCTGGAACTTCATCTGAAATTAGCTACTGAGTGAGGGATAAGTGGGGTTCACCCAGGAAGGTCATTCTTATGGCTCAGTTCAGAGTTGGAGGAGGCTTCTGAACTTAGAAAGGAAAGTAAATTACAACCCAACATTAATAGCAATTATCTTTCAAGTCTTGACTTAGATGCAATGTCTTCAGGACGTCCTTCCTGACTTACCTACATTATTAACTCCATTTGAATTTCCTTTTTATTGTAGTTGTTGTTCTTAAGTGCATAGGATTGGTTTAATTTTACCCAATGAGTTCACAGCACATTGTAATTATTGGCAGTAGTGCAAGACTCTCTCGTCTCTTCTCTTGCCTCCGTTCTCATTCTCTCCCCTCCCTAGAGAATCCATTCTAAACGTGTCTGGTATGTCTCTAAGTATGAGAGTGGCTTTTAGAAATATGTAGCATTCTTGCTCTTTATGTGTTTTTAAAATTTAATAAATGTCATTCTCTGTTGAATCCCATTCTGTTTCTTTTCTCACTTGACACTGTGCTTTTTGAGCATACTGAGGTCAAAGGCCTCCTCTTAGATCCATGTGGTCTGACGTAATTTACCAGGCATGGGTTTTCCCAGAGGAGGGGGCTGGTTCATGGTTTTGGTTTTGGTTTTCCAGAAGATTTTGTGATTCAGGCAAAGGCTGACTGTTACTTCACCAACGGGACAGAAAAGGTGCAGTTTGTGGTCAGATTCATCTTTAACTTGGAGGAGTATGTACGTTTCGACAGTGATGTGGGGATGTTTGTGGCATTGACCAAGCTGGGGCAGCCAGATGCTGAGCAGTGGAACAGCCGGCTGGATCTCTTGGAGAGGAGCAGACAGGCCGTGGATGGGGTCTGTAGACACAACTACAGGCTGGGCGCACCCTTCACTGTGGGGAGAAAAGGTGAGCTGGAAGCTGAGGTCTGGCGGGGCTCAGGAATGTCCCCCATGTGAACCTGGCCATGGCTCTTCTTTCTTACAAGCAATTTTCTGCTTTAGGATAAATGGTTGTCTGTGTAGATGTTCTGGCCCCAGCTGTGATATATTATCCTCACAAGTCAGCCACTGTGATCTTGGTCTCAGACCCCCAAGGTTCTCAGGGACTTCGAGGGCTATTGTACCCTCAAAGAGAAGCAGTAATTATGGGAGTACCTCAGAAAGTCTAAATCCTCCTGACAGGCATTGACATACCCTGTTACTGATCTTGGGGGCTGAGACTTGCCTATACTTTGTGTTCACTTGGGTGATCTGGGAAAGAGATTAGACATAGTGATAGTCCCTAAAGAATCTCCTGTCCCAGCTTGGTGGTTTTCTTTCACGGTGTCTCATTTTTCCTCCCTTCCTAGTGCAACCAGAGGTGACAGTGTACCCAGAGAGGACCCCACTCCTGCACCAGCATAATCTGCTGCACTGCTCTGTGACAGGCTTCTATCCAGGGGATATCAAGATCAAGTGGTTCCTGAATGGGCAGGAGGAGAGAGCTGGGGTCATGTCCACTGGCCCTATCAGGAATGGAGACTGGACCTTTCAGACTGTGGTGATGCTAGAAATGACTCCTGAACTTGGACATGTCTACACCTGCCTTGTCGATCACTCCAGCCTGCTGAGCCCTGTTTCTGTGGAGTGGAGTGAGAATTAGTTTCTAGTACTCTCTGGGCCTGACTCAGGACTATACTGACTCAATACAGAGCCTGTGTCACTTCTGCGTTTATCTTGGTCACAACATGAATTATTCTTTCCCTTGATCTGGGACAGTCACAGAAACCAGAGTCCTTGGGTTAGGGTGGGAGAAAACATGGCAGATATCTATCCTCATATCTTCCAAGAAATGAGGAGATCTAATCACCTCATTATGTGCTTCCAACCCTATGAACTGGTGTCCTCTAATTCTTTGGTCTTAGTATTTAGGAGGCATTCTTATGGGCTGTGAGAATCTGTAACCGATGGGTGGTAACTCCATGGGTGCCAACTTTGGTTTCGAAGAACCTTTTCTAAATTTATTTATTTTTCTCTAGCTAGCATTGGATTTGGTGTCTAGTACAGATTCTGGGATTCCAAGAAAGTGCTTTAAATATTGGGATATTTTTACTAATTTAAAGACCTGTTTCCCATAGGAGCTCAGTCTGAATATTCTTGGAGAAAGATGCTGAGTGGCATTGCAGCCTTCCTACTTGGGCTAATCTTCCTTCTGGTGGGAATCGTCATCCAGCTAAGGGCTCAGAAAGGTAATGAGCCTGTGAGGAGTGCCCTGCCACCTGTCCCAGACCTTCCCCACTCCCACCTTCCCTAACGTCAATGATCTGAGGCAAGGAAAGCTGATTGTGCCTCTCAGGGATCACCGGGATAATTTTTTTCTGAAGCTAGAAATGGGATAAGCAGAGAGAGTGCTGACCTTGCCAGCCATTTGTTCTTCCCTCGGGATAATCATATTGGGTCCTAATTGGGGCAATCCATTCTTTTCTCGATTTCTTTCCAGGATATGTGAGGACGCAGATGTCTGGTAATGAGGTAATGTCTCTTTTTCCTTGTCTTTGAGTGGCAGATCATTCTCCCGGTTCTTTGGCCAGAGGGAGATGACATGGGGGTAGGGAGGAGTAAGGTTGCTGCTGTCTGGATGGGACTGTCCCCTGAGTCTCTGGAACGGCTGTGGGGGGTGGTGAGGCTGCCTCCTGAGACCTTCATCACTGTGCCTCCAGGTCTCAAGAGCTGTTCTGCTCCCTCAGTCATGCTAAGGTCCTCACTGAAGCTTCTCTCTCTGGAGCCTGAAGTAGTGATGAGTAGTCTGGGCCCTGGGTGAGGTAAAGGACATTCATGAGGTCAATGTTCTGGGAATAACTCTCTTCCCTGATCCTTGGAGGAGCCCGAACTGATTCTGGAGCTCTGTGTTCTGAGATCATGCATCTCCCACCCATCTGCCCTTCTCCCTTCTACGTGTACATCATTAATCCCCATTGCCAAGGGCATTGTCCAGAAACTCCCCTGAGACCTTACTCCTTCCAGCCCCAAATCATTTACTTTTCTGTGGTCCAGCCCTACTCCTATAAGTCATGATCTCCAAAGCTTTCTGTCTTCCAACTGCAGTCTCCACAGTCTTCAGAAGACAAATGCTCAGGTAGTCACTGTTTCCTTTTCACTGTTTTTAAAAACCTTTTATTGTCAAATAAAATGGAGATACAAAAAATGTACATTTTAGTGAATTATTTAAGAAAAACCCCTGTAATCAAGTCAAGGAACAGGACTTTGCCAGCTCCAGCAGAAGTCTCTGTACGTCAGGCCAATCAAAGCCTCTCCTTCCCCTCGAAAGTGACCATATCCTGATTTTATTGTAACCTCTTTCATGTCTTTGTAGTCTAGTCCCCCAGGTATGTGTTCCTGGACGCCACAGCTTAGTTGTCTTTTACGTCTCTTATACTTCACTGGTTTCTCCCCCATCAGCCTTTTTTTCCCCCTTATGATTAATCTGTTGAAAAGCTCAATCCATTTGACCTGTAGAGTTTCCCACACTCTGGATTTTGCTGGCTGCATACACATGGTGCAGTGTAACACATCCTCTGCCTTCTGTGCCTCCCGCAAATTGGCATCTGGATGCAGAGGCTGGATCAGACTCTGGTTCAATCTTTTCCTTTGGAAAATCTATACGTGGTGTTGTGGCCTTTCACCATGAGAGACATAATTTCCAGCTGTTTCTTTTTGTGATGTTAGCAACCATTGATACTAATTGCTTAGGTTTGTTAATTTATTGGGGATTGCTAAATGGTGGTATTCTGTCATTTTTTCTTCATTTTATGCTTTATTAATGCTACAAAGAGACAGTTCCCTTCATTTACTAGTGAAGAGACACTTCCCTCCACTTACTAGTGGGCTACTTAGTGGTACAGTGGAAAGGCAGGATCAGTGTTTGACCCCCGTCTCTACTAAAAACACAAAAAATTAGCCTTGCGTGGTGGCGTGCGCCTGTAGTCCCAGCTACTCCGGAGGCTGAGGCAGGAGAAGCGCTTGAACCTGGGAGGCGGAGGTTACAGTGAGCCAAGATTGTGCCACTGCACTGCGGCCTGGTGACAGAGCAATACTCCATCTTAAAAAAAAAATCAGTCTTCTCTATATTACTTCTGCATCTCCTTTCTTTTACACCAAGAACTCTGGTTTTCAAGGACACAGGGACAGACACAATTAGAATGTCCATACTTATTTGCTTTTCCTGAGTTAACATAGACAGCAGTCTAAGGATAATAACACTAATACTACAACCACCAAAATGGCTACTGAAAACGGTTGAAATTCTTTTTACCTACATTCTCCCTATTACCTGTGTTCTCCCTTTTTACCTATGTTCTCCCCCGCTTTCTAGTTGAACTATGTCTATATTAGTTGATCCTGTATCATTGCATAGACTACTTACTCCCTTGTTAGTCTTAGTTCTGTGAGTAGAGATATGTTTAATGCTCACCATCATTCCTTATGTTGATATCCCTGTCATGTGGTGGTTTTCAAGGTGTGGTCCATGGATCCCTGGGGGTCCCTGGGACCCTTCAAGGGGCCTATGAAGTCAAGCTATTTTTGTACTAATACTAAGATGTTATTTGCCTTTTTCACTGTATTATTTACATAGTGGTACAGAAATCTATGGTGGTCACATGAAACTGTTAGTGCCTGAGCACAAATCAAGGTGGTGACACCAAGCTGTACAGGTAGGTCATGTTCTTCACTGCCATAAGCTTACAGTTAAAAAAAAAAAAAAAAAAAAAAAGCAAAAGCCAGTGACTTTGATGAAGCAATAAAATCATTAGTTTACTAAATTTTAAACCTCAAACACACATCTGTTTAATAGTCAGTGTAAGAACATAGGCAGCATTTCTGGTGCATACTGATGGAAAGGCAGTTGTCCTGTGGAAAAGCCATTATGTAATTGCATGAGTTGTGAGTGAAGTTAAACATTTTTTTTTTAGTGGGTCATCATTTTCCTTGAAAGAATGACTGAAAGGCACACTGTGATTATTCAGACTTGGGTATTTGGTAGAAATTTTCTCAAAAATAAACAAAATGAGCCTATCCCATCAGAGAAAATAATATTGACAGTGGAAATTGGAATTTCAAGAGAAAATTAAAATTTTGGAAAACTTACGTGTGCCGCAGCTTCTCACTACTTAAAGATGTTTCTGATGAGATTGGTGGTGATATTAACAAATATGGTTTAAAAAATATTGTTTAATAAAATATGTCAACATTTTAAAAAACTGCGTAAACCCATGAATCAATAATTTACAAATAATCAATGCATGATATTGCAAAGTCATGCATAGAGGAAAAGATCCATTTAAAGATAGACTAGTGAATTTTAACACAACAGAATATGAAAAGTTAATTTATAAGGTTTCAGATTCCACACTGCAACTAACCTTTAAGAATCTGCCATTTCTTGAGTTTTGGTGTCTTATCAAGGAAGAACAGTTACAATAGCTGAAATGGTTATTGAAACTTTCCTTCTTTTCCCAACTGTGTATAAGAGTGAGGCCAGATTCTCCTCTTGTACTTTAGCCAAAACAACATATTGTTACAGCTTGAATGTAGAAGAATATATAACCAAGCTAGCTTTATTAAGCCAGACATTAAAGAGATTTTTACAAATGTAAAATAATTCCTTTTTTTTCACTATTTTTTTGTGCTGGAGAAGACAGCTATTTTCCATAAAAGTATGTTGTTTATGTTAACATGTAATGGGTTTGTTATTGTTATTTAATAACAAATAAATTAATATAAATGTCACTTTACATAACCCATGTAAACTAAAGCTTCTTGGTGTTCTCAACAATTTTACGAATAAAAAGGGATCCTGATACCAAAAGAATTATAAGCTACTGATGTAGTCATCATGATTGTTTGAAACTATTTCTCCTAGGTGCCTCAGGAAGACTTAGGAAAGTGTCTTAGTTTGTATGAGCTGCTATAACCAACTACCAGAGACTGGATGGCTTAAAAACAGCAGAAATGTATTTTTCACAGTTCTGGAGGCTGGAGGTCTAAGATCAGTGTGTCAGCCTGGTAGGGATCTGGTGAAGGCCTGCTGGCAGCATCTTCTCACTAAGACTTCATGTGGCAGAAGGAAAGGGAGCTATCTGGAATCTCCCTTATAAGGGCCCTAATGCCATTCATAAGGGCTGCACCCTCATGACCTAATCACCTTCCAAAGGCGTCACCTCCTGGTACTGTCACCTTGGGCGTTACGATTTCATCATATGAATTTTGGGACGGCATATTCAGTCCACACCAGGAAGTTCTTGCACTTCATAGTCGAAAGTCAGTTTTGTGGCTATAAAAATCTTGGTTCCATTTTCCGCTCTTGAGTATCTTAAAAAGTTACTACATTTTCACATAACTGCTATCAAAAAGTCTGATGATAATCTAATTATTAAAAAGTCATTGCTACTTTTGCTGAGTATCCAGATGGTATTTTCTTTTTCTTTAGTATCCACAAGTTTTATTGGAATGTATTTTGGTTGGGGGGAGGGCAAGATCGCTGACTAGATGCAGCCAGGTGAAACAGTTCTCAACGAGGAACCCAGATGACTGGCGTGCTCCTAACAGATGTTCAGACAGAAGGCACCTAGAGTGGACAGAGGGAAGACACAGAAGCTGGACTGAAGTGGGAGAAAGCTGGGAGCCCTACATGGGGCTACAGCACATCCAGACTCATTCCTGTCCTCCAATGGCTCCAGGAAAATGGGTGAGTTGAACTGGCAAGGAACAACCCACTGTCACTATGACCTCTGCAACCATGGCAGGAGGAGACCCATTGACCACCATGGACACTTGAGTTGGCAGGAAGAGCTGCTTAGAGAAGCCATAGGGGCGGCAAGCCAGCGGGTGTGGAGCCTAGAGGATTCAGTGCAGGAGCATCTGCAGTGGAGCATGGCCAGGGATGGCCATTTCCCTAGGCTCAACTTACTCCCATAGGAGACATTAGCCCTAGGGAAACTGTTGGTCCCGAAATCTGTAGGGTGGTCTTGCCCATCAGATGAGTCTGGTTCTACCTGAGCAACCGTTGGTCTTCTGGCCTCTCCTGGGGCCCCGGCCTGGCCACATCTGCTTTCAAAGCAGCCTCAGGTGCCCTGTGGGCCTGCACCATAGCTTCTACACTGGCAGACCATGACTGACCAGTAAGTGGAGAGCTCCAATGAGGAGGCCCCTATGGCCAGGCACCAGCCTCCATGCTCCCTCCCCACACTGCAGCTTCCTCTGGGCCCACAGCAACTCCCCACATCATTTTGCTGGTACATGTCTGCTGGGTGGGTTTTGTTTTCCTTGCCTCACCAGCATAGGAGTGTAATTCACCCCCCACCAATTCCCTCCTGACAGCCATTGCAGACAGAGCCTTGGTGGGCACAGAGCCAGCCAGCCCCACTCCCTCCATCATCCCACCCTGTGCTAACACTGAGCAGAGAACAGCTGATCCTCCCCCACCCTGAGTGACCACTCCTGCACAGAAAAGGCACGCAGACCTGCACCTGCCAATGCCTTGCCCCTAAGCCAACACCACTTCCTGTGTGACCACACACACAGTTGCCAGCAGGGGACCCCCTTCCTTTCCTGCAGTTGCATTGCCTCTGCCACTGTGGTGGATGCCTGCAGGGAGGTGGGCACCCCGGCACCTGCTAGTACTCTGCTACAGCTTCAACTACCACTGCTGCTGGTACACTCAAACAAGGACAGATCCTGCTGTCACTGTACTATGAAACACTTTGGCTGACAACACTCATTGGAGTGTAGTGACCAGTGGTCTGGGAGCACTTCGGACTGCACCACTCCTGCCACCTCCCCCACCCCCCGCCCATCACAGCGGATTCCTAATTCTGAGGAAACAGAGAACAAAGTCAGGGTCCCATACAAGTCCCAAAGAATTACAGCATGCAGTCCAGGAGTTGGGAGTGGAATACTGGCCAAATAAAATTGTCCAGAAATGAAGTCAGTTGGCTGAATCCACCTTATACCACAATCAAACCCTCAAAGTCATCAAATAGGATAAATAGGATAAATAAAAAAGGTTGGATGATCTTTGCTGTCCAAAGGTCAGCAGTCTCAAAGATTAAAGGAAAATAAGCCCACAAAGATGAGAAAGAATCAGGCAAGAACCTTGACAACTCAAAAAGCCAGAGTGTCTTCTGTTCTCCAAACGACCACATCACCTCTCGAGCAAGGATTCTGAACTGGGCTGAGATGGCTGAAATGACAGATATGTAATTCAGAATAAGGATAGAAATGAAGATCATTGAGCTACAGAAGTACACTGAAACCCAATCCAAGGTAGCTAAAAATTATGATAAAACAATGCAGGAGCTGATAGATAAAATAGCTAGTATAGATAAGGACATAACCAATTTGATAGAGCTGAAAAACACACTATAAGAATTTCATAATGCAATCACAACTATTAATAGCAGAACTGACCCAGTGGAAAAAAGAATCTCCACACTTCAAGACTGGCTTTCTGAAATAAGATAGTCAGACAAGAATAGAGAAAAAAGAATGAAAAGGAAGGAACAAAACTTCTGAAAAATATGAGATTATGTAAACAGACCAAATCTATGACTCATTGGTGTTCCTGAGAGAGATGGGGAGAATGAAACCAACTTGGAAAACATATTTCAGGGTATCATCCATGAGAATCTCCCCAACCTAGCTGGAGAGGCCAACATTAAAATACAGGAAATGCAGAGAACCCCAGTAAGATACTTCACAAGAAGATCATTCCAAAGGCACATAATTATCAGATTCTCCAAGGTTGAAATGAAAGAAAAACAGTTGGCAGCTAGAGAGAAAGGCCAGGTCACCTACAATGAAAAGTCCATCAGACTAACAGTGGACCTGTCAGAAGAATCTCTACAAGCCAGAAGAGACTGGGGGCCAACATTTATTATTCTTAAAGAAAATAATTTCAACCCAGAATTTCATATCTGGCCAAACTAATCTTCAAAAGTGAAGGAGAAATAAGAACCTTTTCAGAGAAGGAAATGCTGAGGGAATTTCATTACCACTAGACTTGTCTTACAAGAGCTCCTGAAGGAAGCACTAAATATGGAAAGGAAAGACTTACTAGCCACTACAAAAACACACTGAAGTACACAGACCAGTGACACTATAAAGCAACCACATAAACAAGTCTGCAAAATAACCAGCTAACATCATGATGACAGGATGAAATCCACACATATCAATACTAATCTTAAATGTAAATGGGGCCGGGCACGGTGGCTCACGCCTGTAATCCCAGCACTTTGGGAGGCCGAGGCGGGCGGATCACGAGGTCAGGAGATCGAGACCATCCCGGCTAAAACGGTGAAACCCCGTCTCTACTAAAAATACAAAAAATTAGCCGGGCGTAGTGGCAGGCGCCTGTAGTCCCAGCTACTTGGGAGGCTGAGGCAGGAGAATGGCGTGAACCCGGGAGGCGGAGCTTGCAGTGAGCCGAGATCCCGCCACTGCACTCCAGCCTGGGCGACAGAGCAAGACTCCGTCTCAAAAAAAAAAAAAAAAAAAAAAAAAAGTAAATGGCTAGTGCCCCAATTAAAAGGCACAGAGTGGTAATCTGGATAAAGAACCAAGGCCTATTAGTATGCTGTCTTCAAAAGACTCATCTCACATGCAGTGACACACATAGGATCAAAATAAACAGATGGAGAAAAATCTACCAAGCAAATGGAAAACAGAAAAAAGCAGGGGTTGCAATACTAGTTTCAGACAAAACAGACTTTAAACCAACAAAGATCAAAAAAGATGAAGAAGGGCATTACATAATGGTAAATGGTTCAATTCAACAAAAGATCTAAGTATTCTAAAAATATATACCTCCAAAAGAGGAGCACCCAGATTCATAAAGCAAGTTCTTAACGACCTTCAAAGAGACTTAGACTCCCACACAATGATAGTGGGAGACTTTGACACCCCATTGACAATGTTAGACAGATCATCAAGACAGAAAATTAACAAAGATACCCAGGACCTGAACTTAGCTCTGGATCAAATGAACCTGATAGACATCTTATAGAACTTTCCACCCCAAAAAGACAGAATATACATTTTTCTCATTGTCACATGGCACATACTCTAAAATCGATCACATAATTAGAAGTAAAACACTCCTCAGCAAATGCAAAAGAACTGATCATAAGAAAAAATCTCTTGGACCACAGCACAATCAAATTAGAAACCAAGACAAAAAAGTTCACTCAAAACCGTACAATTACATGGAAATTAAATAACCTGCTCCTGAATGACTTTTGGGAAAATAATGAAATTCAGGCAGAAATCAAGAAACTTTTTGACATGAGTGAGAACAAAGATACAACACACTAGAAGCTCTGGGACACAACTAAAGCAGTGTTAAGAAGGAAATTTATAGCACTAAATGCCCACATCAAAAAGTTAGAAATATCTCAATTTAACAACCTAACATAATAACTAAAAGAACTAGAGTATCAAGAGCCAACCAATCTCAAGGCTAGCAGAAGACAAGAAATAACCAAAATCCAGAACTGAATGGAAGGAGATTGAGACACAAAAATGATTCAAAAGATCAATGAATACAGGAGCTGGTTTTATGAAATAATTAATAAAATAGATGGACTTCTAGCTAGACTAATAAAGAAGAAAAGAGAGAAGATTCAAATAAACACAATTAGGAATGACAAAGGAGGTATTACCACTGACCCCACAGAAATACAGACAACCATCAGAGAATATTATGAATACTTCTATGACATAAAGTAGAAAATCTAGAAGAAATGGATAAATTCCTGGGCACATACACCCCCTAAGACTGAACTAGGAAGAAATTGAATCTATGAACAGACTAATAATGAGCTCTGAAATTGAGTCAGTAGTAAATAGCCTACCAAAAAAAACAAAACAAAACAAAACAAAACCCAGGACCAAATGGATTCACAGCTGAATTCTATCAGGTGTACAAAGAAGAAATGGTACAATTCCTGCTGAAACTATTTCAAAAAATTGAGGAGAAGAGACTCCTACCTAACTCATTCTATGAAGCTAGCATCATCTAAATACCAAAACCTGGCAGAGACACAACAAAAGAAGAAAACTTCAGGCCAATATCCTTGATAAACATTGATGCAAAAAAATCCTCAACAAAATACCAGCAAACCGAATCCAGCAGCACATCCAAAAGCCAATCTACCATGATCAAGTAGGCTTTATCCCTGGGATATGAGGTTTGTTCAACATATAAAAATCAGTAAATGTGATTCATCACATAAACAGAACTAAAGACAAAACCCACATGATTATCTCAATAGATGCAGAAAAGTCTTCTGATAAAATTCAACACTCCTTCATGTTAAAAACTCTTGATAAACTAGCTATTGAAGGAACATACGTCAAAATAGTAAGAGCCATCTATGACAAACCCACAGCCAACATCATACTGAATGGGCAAAAGCTGGAAGCATTCCCCTTGAAAACTGGCAGAAGACAAGAATGCCCCCTCTCATTACTCCTATTCAACATAGTACTGAAGTCCTTGCCAGGGCAATCAGGCAAGAGAAAAGAATAAAGAGCAGCCAAATAGGAAAAGAGGAAGTCAAAGTATTCCTGTTTGCAGATGACATGATCATCTATCTAGAAAACCCTATCGTCTCAGCCCAAAAACTTCTTAAGTTGATAAACAACTTCAGCAAGGTCTCAGGATACAAAATCAATGTGCAAAAATTACTAATATTTCTATACACCAACAACAGTCAAGCCTAGAGCAAAATCAGGAATGCAGTCCTATTCACAATTGCCACAAACAGAATAAAATACCTAGGAATACAGCTAACCAGGGAGGTGAAAGATCTCCACAAGAAGAACTAAAAAGCACTGCTCAATGAAATCAGAAATGACACAAACAAATGGAAAAACATTGCATGCTCATGGATAGGAAGAAACAATATCATTAAAATGGCCATACTGCCCAAAGCAATTTATAATTCAATGTTATTCCTATCAAACTACAATTGAGATGCTTCACAGAACTAGTAAAAACTATTTTAAAATGCATATGGAACCAAAAAAGATACATAGATACAAAATAAGGACATGAAAACATGTGCAATGTCATTAGCCATTAGAGAATTACAAATTAAAACCACAATAAGATATTACTATATACCTATCATGATAGCTAAAAATAAAAAGTAGGCACAATACCAAATCCTGGTGAGGATGCAGAGAAAATAGATCACTCACATTTGGCTGCTGGGAATGTAATATAGTACAGCCACACTGGAAAATAGTTTGGCATTTTCTTTAAAAGCAAAACATGCAACCACCATACAACCCAGCAATTGCACTCCTGAGCATTTATCCCAGAGAAATGAAGACTTATGTTCAGAGAAAAATCTGCACATGTATGCTCATAGCAGCTTTATTCAGACAAAAACTGGAAACAAACTGTGGTATATCCATACTAGGAAATACTACTTAGCAATAAAAACGAACAAACTGGATACAGGCACCACGACCTGGATGAATCACCAGGGAATTATGCTGAGTGAAAAAAAAAATTGCAAAATGTTGTCTACTAAATGATTCCACTTATATAACACTCCTGGAATGCCAAAACTATAGAGATGGAAATTAATAATTGCTGTGTTAATGAAGAAGTGGAAATGGGAGGGAAGTGGCTGTGGCTACAAAAGGGCAAAATGAGGGATATTATAGTGATGAAAGTGTTCTTTATTTTAATTATATCAATGTCAATATCCAGACTGTGATAATTTACTGTAGTTTACAAGATGTTATCCTTGGAGGAAACTGGGTAAAATGTACATGAGATATCTCTGTAACATTTCTTAAAAGTGTCCGTGAATCAACAATTATATCAAAATAAAAAGTATAATTTAATACAGCATCTTAACATTTTCAACAAAACTAAGTGTCAAAGTATCCCCATAAACCTCAAATACAAATTGGTGAGGACAAACCACTAGTAGTTGCACGTTATTAATTTTTCCTGTTATGGATTATGCCTTTGGTGTCAAGTCTAAAAGCTTTTTGCTTAACCCTAGATCCTGAAGATTTTCTCCTGAGAGTTTTGTGACTTTATGTTTTACATATTAGACTTTGATCCATTTTTATTTCTTCCTTTGAAATCTGCACGCCTTTTTTTTTTCTCGCCCATTACATTATCTAGAACTTCCAACGCCATGTTGAATAAGCATGGCGAGAGTGGACATCATTGCTTTGTTCCCGATCTTTGGGGGAAAAATTTCAGTCTTTCACCGCTGTGTTAGCTGTGAGATTTTTTTGCAGATGCTCTTTATCAAGTTGAGGCAGTTCCTCTCTATTTGCATTTTCTGAGCATTTTATCATGAATGGCCATTGAATTACGTATTCTAATACCTCATATATGTATATCATTAACTTGGATTACGCTTCTTTAAATAGCTGCCTTTTCTACTGGTTGTCAAATGAGCTGTATCCTTTCTATTTAATGCCTACATGAAGTTTTTAAATATGGACTCTATGTCATATATTTAGTCCCTTTCAGGTTTCCAACATAAAGTGATACTATTTCAGCTACTTAAGCACTTATTTAGGCTTTATGCCTCATGTAGTTTAGATTTATTATGAGTTTGCACTTACATTTGATTCCTTTTTATACTCCTAATGTCTTTTTTTCTTAAACAAGTGGCCTATATATTTGGACTCACAATATTTATACATCCTCTGTCACCAGGGGTACATGTCCTTATACCTTAAAGCACGTGCTTCTGGAGTCCTGTTGTGTTACATGTTTCCTCTAAAACAAACCCTCCATGTTATTTGAGAGCCAACCCCACTTTTCAAATTATTTAGGCTGCTGTAACCTCCATTAATAAAGGATTCAAAAGTCATAATTGTGTGATTCTTTAGGAATTATCCAAAAAGGCAATCTGATTTATTTTCCAAATATCCTGGATCTGAAATAATCTATCAGAGTTTATTTCTATGCTTGGAAAGCTTCCTTTGATGTCAGCATTTGCGATTTTCTTACTTAGCTTATGTAGCTAAGTAAGAAATGAATTGCTTTTGTTGGTTTCTTAGTACATTCTGTCCATCAAGTACATTGAGTTGTTTAGAATTGTTTTGAGTCAACAGTGTAACAAGCATCCAAAATCTTGTATAGTCAATTTTGTTTGACTATTGTGCTAGAAGATCAATTTCTATTTCCTCTGTTGACAATATCCTGAGCATTTTGAAGTTACACAATTGCAGTGGTAATTTAGTGGAAGAGTGTTAACATTTTAACCTAAATAATTGATTTTGTATTAAACAAATTCTGATGTAGGAATGTATTTAGTATTAACTATATGGAATTCTCTATAAATCTCATAAACAGAGTAGTTGCTTTTTTGAAGGGGATTAAAAATTAAATATCAACATTTTCATTTTAGAAAATAAAAAATGTGGCTCACGCCTATAATCCCAGCACTTTGGGAGGCTGAGGTGAGCAGATCACTAGGTCAGGAGATCAAGACCATCCTGGCTAACACAGTGAAACCCTGTCTCTACTAAAAAATATGAAAAATTAGCTGGGCATGGTGGTAGGTGCCTGTAGTCCCAGCTACACGGGAGGCTGAGGCAGGAGAATGGTGTGAACCCAGGAGGTGGAGCTTGCAGTGAGCCAAGATCACGCCACTGCACTCCAGCCTGGGTGACAGAACAAGACTCTGCCTAAAAAAAAAAAAAAAAAGAAAAGAAAAAGAAAAGAAAAAATGTCTTTTTTCTTTTTAAAATTTTCCTATTTTAATATTTAAAATTATTTTATCTTTTTTTTTAAAAAGTTATACATGACATGGTTTAAAACATCAAATACAGATGGTTCCTGACTTATGATGGTTCCACTTAAGATTGTTCAGCTGTGATGGCGTGAAAGCAGTACACATTCTGGAAGAAATGTACTTCAAATTTGAAATGTCAGTCTTTCTCTGGGCTAGTGATATGTGGTATAACACTCTCACCTGACGCTGAGCAGCAGTAGTGAGCCACAGCTCCCAGTCAGCCACGCTAATGTAAGTGTTCTGAGCATGTTGAGGGTAGGCTGGGCTAAACTATGATGTTTGATAGGTTAGGGGTATTGAATGCATTTTCAACTTGCAGTTTATCAGGACACAAACCCACCTGAAGTCAAGGAGCATCTGTATTTCTACAGGGCTTGTTATGCAAAACAGCTGACCACACTGCCTCCCCATTCCTCTTTCCAGACAGAAATTCTAGTAGATAGTCCCATTTTACAAATGAGAAAGTGGAGGCTTAGGGAGGTTAATTAAGACACGCAAGTTCATATGGGTAGGAAGCGATGGAGCTATGATAAGAACTCAAATCCATATGGTCCCCAAGCCTGAGGTTTGAGCTATATTGCTTCGTGATTACAGGATATATTAGTTTCCTATTGGTGCTGTAACAAATTACCACAATTTAGTGTTTTAAAACAACAAAAATTTATTGTTGGACAGTTCTGGAAATTATAAGCCTAAAATGGGTCCTGTTAAATTAAATTAAATTTGGCTTAAAGCGGCCTCTGTACTTTGAATTCCTACGTAGTATACTGAAATCTAACTTAATGTGTAAGAAAATTGTACCCTAACTTAAGAGCATATTCTTGTAATAAATAGCTGAGTCTCAGGCAAACACAGCAGCCAAGCTTCAGGCAATCACAGGTTGCCAACTGATCAGACCATGATCAAATAAGGCAAATACTGAGCTGTAAACAAGCTGCTTCTGTATACCACTTCCTTTTTCTCTCTATAAATATTGCCTGCCCCTATTGCTCAGTGGAGCTCTCTGTACCTCTTCTGGTCCTGGATGCTGCCCAATTCATGAATTGTGCTTTGCTCAAATAAATCAAAATAAATTTAATTTGTTCAAAGTTTTTCTTTTAACACTTGTACAGGGCTAATCAAGGTGTTAGCTTGTCTGTGTTCCCCTTCTGAAGGCTTTAGCGGATAATCTGTTTTTTGCCTCTTCCAGCTTGCAGCGACCAGCTGCATTCCTCGGCTTGTAGCCCCCTTCCAGCAATCACTTTCCTCTGATTTTTGCTTCTAATATCACATCTCCTTCTTCTATTCTCTTGCCTCTTTCTTTCACTTAGAAGGACCCATGTAATTATATCAGGACCACTTGGCTAATCCAGAATAATCTCCCCATCTCAAGATCCTTAATCTAATCACTAATGCAAAGTCCCTTTTGCCATGTAAGGTAACAGATTCACAGGTTTCATAGATTCAGATCTTTCAGGGGTGGCAGTTGGGGGCATTATTCCATCTACCACACAGAGTAAAGTTTCATCTGGATGACCCACAGGCCCTACAAATACAAAATGTCTAATATGGAATGTTCTCTTAAACTGTCCTTTCTTGATGACTGGAATTACTAACCACTTGGTCTCCCAAGCATCTTCTGCTCTCGCCTTCTCCTCTCTCCCATATACAATGGATGACGACACATCATGTTGCATCTGCTCCCTCACATGTCTCTGACCCTCTCTCTAGATCCCTGATCCTACTTTAATTCGAGCCCCATCATGTCTGGTCTGTGTTACTCTAACAGTTACCCACGCTGCTTTCTCTGCTTTCAATTTTATGCTCCTCTAACCCACTCTTCCCATCAGAGTAGTCTTTCTAAAACGTGAAGCTGCCCATGACCCTTCCCTTACTATCAGTCTGCATACTGGTCCTACTGACTGCAGATCAAAGACCCAAGTCCTTAGCCTGGTGTGTGAGGCATCCATCCCTAGCCCTCTGCTTCATCTGTCACCCACCCATTTTACCAATTCCGAAAGACTTTCACTTCCCTCGAAGCCTGTCCAAGTGTCCAAGCCGCTCATGCTTTGTTAGACTTGGAAGCCATTCTCCATATACCCTCGATCAGCTTGAATGTCATTTCCACTAGAAAATTTTCCTAATTGTTTGTGACTTCAATGTCCTAATTTTACACACATTTCTGCTGTGCCCCTTTGTTTGCTAATATGTCTCCTGGGTGGTAAGCAGGACTCCGTGTCTTATTAATATTTTCCGTCTCCAGAATTCAGCCACTGTCTGCCACACAAGTGCATAATGAGTTACTATACTAATATTATGCAGCCATGTCCCCTGTACAGCAGTTCCCTGGATCTCATGGCTTCTTTTTTGATTTGCCTTGTTTGTTACCAACTTCCATCAGTAAGACAATCTATCCAATCCTTGTCCCCTTTGCCACATCACATCCTCAGGGCAATAACAAAGTTGTTAAGTTTATGCACCTTCTCCACTTGGAGCAAGGCCTCACCATGTCAGGCCTCCGCCTGATTCTCCTCCCTGCCTGGGATGGCAGATTTTGCTCTAGTGGGTCTCCAGGCCGTGAGGTCTCCTGTCTTTTATGTTCTGATCCGGGTGGTGAGCTGCAGCTCACTACAAGTCCTTACTTGTCTCTGCTGGCCTTTAGAGACTTTGTACTCAATTTGGAGGAACTACTCTTGATGGATTGTAAGTGAGAGGATTTCCTGGTCTCCCTCTGGAGTCCGCCAGAAAACCACATTCTCTGCTTTTCAGCGTTGACTGCTCATGCTTACGTAATTTCTAAGAGTAAGATCCTATGGACTGTCCTGGCAGCAAAGAATTCGCTCAGGATTTTGCCTGAAGCTGCACTTCCGGGGTCTCGCTTCATCAGAATACTTCTTCATTTTCATCATCGGCCCAGCGATGCATGGGTACCTCTTAGGGTTTAGCCCCAGAATGTACTGGGGGAGGGGAGGGTAAAGTAGGTGGGGAAGGAGTCAGAGTCGTAGGTCATCTGTGGCTGGAGTTTTGCATCCCTAATAAACGGGAAATGAACTGAAGGAAGGCTGGGTTTTCACGTCAACACGAAGGACACCATTACGATGCTAGACTAATCATCAAATAAAATTCCAGATGGAAAAAATTCAGAAACTTAATTTGGAATTTGAGCCCCGCTCTATTATGCAACGTTCCCAGCCATTGCTCCGCGGATGTAATGTGGACTTCCACCGCCAGATGGCGATCGAGACCGTAATTTAAGTTGGTTTTCTCAACTTCCTCTGGACTGAGTCCCCGTGAAAATCCCAAGTTTAACGAGGGGCTTTCCTCGCGTAACCTTCGCTTCTGCTTCCTCTCTCACATCACCTCAACCTGCGAGACTCTGAAAGGGATAATGAGGGTTGGGGGGAATATGGAAATTCAGGGAAGGGAGAGGGGGGTGGTGTGAAGCTTTCCAGACCAGCCACACAGAAATAGCATACCAATAGTGGTTTAGAGCACAGACCCCCAGCCAGAATGAGTAATTTAAACAGCCCTACGATGTAATCGTTGTGTGCATATGCATCTCTATGCCTCTCTCTCTCTCTGTCTTTCTTTCATCTGAGACAGGGTCTCACTCCCTCTGTCCCACAGGCTGGAGTGCAGTGGTGCAATAATGGCTCGCTGCAGTCTTGACCTCCTGGGCTCCAGTGGTCTTCCCACCTCAGCCTCTGAAACCACAGGGTCTTGAACTTCTGGGCTCAAGTGATCTTCCTGCCTCGGCCTCCTAAAGTGCTGGGGTTACAGGTGTCGGCCACCATGCCTGTCTGCTATTTAAGTGCATAGAAGAATGCCTGGCACTCAGTTAGTGTTAAATATTTATAAAATAAATTAAAATTTTATAACACTACACACATGTTGTTGAGTATGTCATAAATAGAGACATATTTAATGAGATGTCAACATATATCATGTTAATGAATTAAGTAAGTTTGAGAATATTAGAGAAGAATGATAATAGATTAACGGAGGAGGCTGGGCGCAGTGGCCCACACGTGTATTCCAGCACTTTGGGAAGCCGAGGCAGGCAGATCACATGAGGTCAGGAGTTCGAGACCAGCCTGGCCAACATGGTGAAACTCCTTCTCTACTAAAAATACAAAAAAAAAAAAATTAGCCAGGTGTGGTGGTGTGCGACTGTAATCCCTGCTAATGGGGAGGCGGAGGTTGCAGTGAGAGGAGATCGCGCCACTGCACTGCAGCCTGGGCGACAAAGCAAGACTCCATCTCAAAACAAACAAACAAACAAACAAACAAAAAACAGACGAAATAGGGTTTGAGTATGTAGTCTGCTCTCAACATGAGATAGTAAAGTCTTTGCTTCCCTTATATTCTGCTAGTTAACTCATTTGATGCACATCGATGTATAAAGCCTTTAACTTCTATTTATTCTTTTCCTTGAAAAGCATGCGGAATGCCTTCTCAGGACTCTCCCATTTTTTATTTGTGAACACCCACTGGCATTCCCGGATACGAAGCTTGCAAGAAGGTGTGAACCGCCCTATACTCGTGAGCCCCTGGGACTCTGTACTCTTTCCAGCCCACATTTGACCTCAGTCAATTTTTAAATGATTCCAGCTAAATTCTTCTTACCAGTGCCCAGCTGTACCTGCCTTAGGTAAGCAAGCACTCAGGCGACAACTCTCCTAGATTTCAAGCTAGTTGGAAGCTCAATCCCAGCTCTGTGATGGGTTGAAAAAAATTGCGACCTTGCAATTTGTGTGATTTCTTTCATGTTGCAAGGAAGCATCACTGTTTCCAGTTCTCTGCATCCCCAAGCAGAAACCAGAACTCTATATAAACGTTTTTAAATGGAGACATTGAGAAAAAGTACCCGAGAAACCAATGAGATACAGGAAGAATGCTTCCAGCACTAACATGAATGGGGCTTGGCCATACAGATAGAAGGGTTGGAAACTCTTACGCCTTGATTTAAACTCTCTATGCATATTCTGAGCACGCTGGGGAATGTACTACTACTAGGCTTGATTTGGATTCATGGCTACTACCTCCCACAAAATGATAGGTCTTCTGTTTTAGTACGTGAGATAATTCCTCAATCGATCTTATTGCTGCTATTTCTGTTAAGCATAAACAATGATTTGGGTCACAAATTTTAATGGGGTTTAAATTCCTTTGTGCATCCCAACAGGTAATCCTCTTACTCTGGGCTATGAACTTGCTACTGCCAAGATGGATGCCATGAAAAAAAGAGATCTCATCAAAATGGTCACAGAGAGATGGAGGGCCTCTGTGTAGATGGCAGGGTGGTGGTGGCCGTGTAACTAGCTGCCCGGTGAGGAGCAGCCCTTGGGGAGAGCCCAGGTAGGACCAGGAGAAGCAGAAATAGAGAAAAGTGAAAGATCGAGGTGGAAAGAACATGAGGGACAAGAGCTCTGCATGGCCACATCACCAGCAGTCTTGTTATTACAATGAGGATGAAGGGACTGAAAAGAGGGGAAGAGATGGAATTCATCAAACAACAGTGCTCATTCATACAAGGCAAGTATACATGTGGCCTTTTCTCTCTCTATCTGAAGACGTGGCTTACTGTAACAGGAACTATCATGGGCATTGGACGGCTGTCTCATGGTGATCCCATCCTCCTCTACATCCTAAACTTTTTTTTTGAATGCATTTCTGTATTTTGACTTCCTCTCTCCCCAAAGTTCTTCTTAACTTCTGAGTATGACTTAGCTTCCTTATTCTTTGAAATATTTGAAACCCCTAACTTCCTCTCCTCTGTGGTGTAACTCACATGGCTTCTCGATACCAGGAGGCACTGTCTGCATACAACCTCATATTATGAGGATGAAATGCCCATGAATCCTACCAATCTGAGGAACAACACGTTTGTCTTCTCTGACAAAATACGGGTGCCACATATTCTGTAGGAAAAGGTGGTGTTGAGGTCAGAACTTCTCTGTTTCTCCGTCTCTCTCTCTCTGGTTCTGGAAATGTTGAGAATATGAGTGAAGGGAAAAAGATGGGCACCACGTGGAGGCAATTTCATGGTGGCATGAAACAATTTTGGGGGCATGAATGCCATGGGCAGGACATCAGGGCCCCAAAAGGGAAATACACAGTACTTTCTTTGGACTTCAGTGCTCTCTTTTATAGTAATGGAAACCACAAGCGCAGAGGAAGGGGAGCTGATTCTATAAAAAGAAGTTTATTTCCTACTTTAAAAGATGATTTTTTGACTATCTTCCCACAATACAGCCAGAGGATCACAGGGGAAAGCTACGATCCTCAATTATAGAAAATGATGTTGGGTGCATCTAGCATCACAGAAGCTTTAGAGGACACAGTCATCTCAGGTACCTACAGATGAGGAAGAAGTACCAATGAGAGTACCTACTCGTATTCTTATTCATGGAAGTGAATCCCTTCAGGAACCAAATCATTTAGCTGCTGGTAGATGTTTCTTTTGGCTCCTCTCTCTCCTGAGCTCTCAAACACAGACTTGTTTTTCTGTGTGCCTGTGCTTTTGGCAACTCTGTTCCAAGAATAAGAATATTTGTTTGTAGATGAGCTTGCTAGGTCGGGGATCTCTTGTATAGGGAGATGGTGAATCACTGAGCAGGACACAGAGGCATGAGTTGAAACAGTGAGATGTACCTTAGTTTAAAGAGAGGTCACAAGAGCTCACGGACCATTATTAGATAAACTCTAAATTAGAAAAAAGAACCATATTTCTCTTTTGATAGTCACAT
The DNA here is from genome assembly GCF_000001405.40 of Homo sapiens. Classification (NCBI taxonomy): domain Eukaryota; kingdom Metazoa; phylum Chordata; class Mammalia; order Primates; family Hominidae; genus Homo; species Homo sapiens. Next base: position 4,099,430 of record NT_167244.2, on the reverse strand, counting down.
AAAAATTGAAGCCATACTCATTCTAATAAAAAGTAACATGCATATCTCTTCATTGCAAAGCTCATCTATTATTCATAACAGGCATATAGGGTCTATATCATTTTTACAGAAGTGGAAATAGCATGCAATTACTAATTTAGTTTATTCATTAGTTTTCCAAAAGTGAAATAAAGAATTTTCCCTTTGACTTCCTACCTGGTAATTTGAAAGAAATAAATTTGTGACTAAAAAGAGTACTTCACATCATACACAAATAATTAATGCAACTGATTGACCCAAGCTAGTGTGTGTGATATTGTGATATAATAGGAAGTATATATTTGGTTTCTGACCCTGGTTCCTGCCCTTCAGCTCCTAAAACTCTTGGAATCTCCAGAGTGATAAGAGTGTCTTTTGCATGCTAATGAGGTGACTGGTGGCTGGGGCTGGTCACCAGAAAGACCAAGGCAGGATTAGAGGGTTGGGATTTTCAGCCCATTCACAATCTCTGGGGAGAAGGGAGGGGCTGAAGGTTGAGTTGACTGCCAATGGCCAATGGTTTAATCAACTCACCATGCTGACATAACAAAGCCTCCATTAAAACCCAAAAGGGCAGAGTTTGGAGAGTTTCCAGATAGCAGAACACGGAAAGATGCCTGGAGGATAGGCTCTTGAAGAAGGTGTGGAAGCTCCGCACTCTTTCCCCCATACTTTGTCCTATGTGTTTTGTTTTTCTTTATTAATCTGTTCGTCTGTATCCTTTGTCTTATCCTATGTAATAAACCAGTGTATGTAAGTAAGTGTTTCCCTGAATTCTTTGGGCTGCTCTAGCAAATTAATTGAACCTGAGGAAAGGTTTGTGGGAACCTCCAATCTATAATTGGATGGTCAGAAGTACAGGTGATAGCAACTGGCATCTGAAGTGGGAGGGGGGCAGTTTTGCATGACTGATCCCTCAATCTGTGGGATCTGATGCTATTTTTAGGTAAATAGTATCAGAATTGAATTGATTTAGAGGAACCCGGTGTCTGCTGGAGAATTGCTTGGTGTGGGGGAAAAATCTCCACATACCTGATGTCAGAAGTAACTGTGTAAGACAGAAGGAAAAATGCTTTGGAGTTTTTTTGTTTTTTCCCCCCATCTCTATTTACATAGGTTAAAAATGTGGCTGGGTGCATGCCCATGATCTGAGCACTTTGGAAGGCCCAGGCGGGAGGATCACTAGAGGTCAGGAGTTCAAGACCAGCCTAGGCAACACAGTGAGACCCCCCGCATCTCTAAAAAACAAACAGAGACAAATACATAAATAAATCAGTACAAGTACAAGCCTCATAATCCATTATGAAAGTGTCAGAGTGATGAATGCCATGGGCATAGTAACAGTTAATAAAGAAAATAATGTGTTGGAGGAATATTTAAGATAACTGAGGCTGCTACAAGCAAAACTACAGAATAATTTCATCATATACATTTTTTTTTGTTTCCAAATTAGATACAAGATTAAGCCTTGGGTCTCCCTGGCAGTGGAGGGCGATTCTGATATTCACATATAACTACCCACAGGGCATGGATTCTGAGAGATGCTGATAAAAGAAGTTGGTGTCTTCTTGGCATTTGTCCCCAAGGATCTTCCAATACCCAGAGAATCTGCATTTACACAGATCATGCTCCCTTGGGAGCTTCTCTTGACTGCCCCTCACACCCTCATTCGTGGCTTTTCCTCTTTGATCTCCCACTTCAGTCCTCACACCTGTCAACACTGTGCTTATTACCATGTGGAGTGGTTAGAAGATCTTCCCAGAGTCAAGACATTTCCAGGGTCACCCTTCTCTTAGGCATTTCTTGGCACGACTGTCCTGAATAAAGGAAAGGAGATGAAGGTGATGTTGAGAAGCATCTAGAGGGCTGGAGTCAGGGGGAACCGGCTGAGGCTGTTGGATCAAGTTTTAGCCACTGGTAAAAGACCTCCAAGCTGCGAATGCTATTGCCATCTGTGTAAAGTCGCCTCCGAGATTAGAACATGCCAAAGACTGAAGAAAGAGGTCTAGGTAGCATAAAGCCATCATGTAATTGAAGTTTCTTCCGTTTCCAAGGACAGGAAGCGTGCAAATGGCTCTGCGTTCTCAGTAGGGGTGGGGCTAAGAAGTGAGCCTGCAAATGGTAGTTTGGGCGAAGACTTGTGTGATGCATGCAGGGACTCAAATTTAGTGTCCTCGGAACACAAACACCCTCTATGATCCGGGTTAGGTATCGCTCCTGTGAACGTTCAAAGAACACCTTTATATTCTGAGGGGACACCGTTCATCATCAGATCACTGTTGACGGAAGCCAGGTGACAGCTTTGTATTTCGTGTTTTCCCCTTTAGTAATGTAAAAATAGAAGTTATTTCTCCTTTCTTCCAATGTAGGATTTTTTTTTTTGAGAGGGTCTCTGTCACCCAGGCTGGAGTGCAGTGACACAAACACAGCTCACTACATCCTTGACCTCTTGGGTTCAGATGATCCTCCCGCCTCAGCCTCCTTAGTAGCTGGGACGACAGGCACATTCCACCGGCCCGGCTAATTTCTTTTTAAAGTTTTTGTAGAGATAGGGCTCTCACTATGTTGCCCAGACTGGTCTTGAATTCCTGAGCTCAAGCGATTCTCTCACCTTGGCCTCCCAGAGTGTTGGGATTACAAGCGCGAGCCACCACGCCCAGCCCAGTGTAGGAATGTTTAATTCCTCCACTTGCTATCAAAGAAAACTGCTAACTTTCTTATTTCCTAATTTCTCTTTTTCTATTTGCTTCTTCTTAGGTTCTGCTCTTGGGTGCTATCTCCTTAGTTTTGAGAATATGAAGGTTTGTTTAGAAAAAAAAAGCAGAAAAAATTCACTGGAAGATTTCACATTTGTATATATCTTTATGAAATGTGACAGTGAAGTGTTAGGGTAGAGATATTTGATCTGATTACCATTAGGATAAAATCAAATCTCCTTACCATGTCTTACATGTGTACTTGTCCAATCTTGTCTCCTATAATTGTCCAACCAACCCGTTCTGTTCCAGCCTCACTGGCCTTCTTATTCTTTCATGAAGCTCACACTGTCCTCCAGAGCCTTGCACTCTCTTTTGCCTGGAATGCTCTCCCAGATCTTAACATGATAGGAAAACAAAAGACAACTGTTTGTCATGTCTACTACAGTCTCAGCCCCATGAGGCAGAGTCCATGCCCATTTTCCTTCCATGCAACATTCCTGGCACCTAGAGAGTGACTGATGCATAATGGCTGGTAAAATATTTGATTAAAAAATATTTTAGTGTATTTCCTCCCCCAAAATATACATACACAACAGAGGCAGTTATTTTGTCTATATCTTTAGCACATTTTAGGCATTTAGTAAATTTCTGTTGAATCCATATGGAATTCTTCAGATTGATCTGTGAACACTTTAGATTTGAAAAAGGAGAAAATCATAAAACTAAGGGTAATGGGGAGAGAGCAAAACCAAAGGCAGACATGGGAAGATTCTCCTTATACAAAATACTTCTTCCATGTCTATAATGAACCCCCAAATTATCTGGATACTTACAACAGTGGTAGCAAGGGAATGTCTCGTTAATGCAGGTTCTCTATTCTCCTCAATTAATTTCAGGTCCTTAATTGTGCATGACATATGAAACATAAAGGGTGTTTATTTGCTAATCACCAGCATTAATTAATTCAAAGACTTACCTGAGATTCTGTTTGCGCAATAAAAATTGAAAAGATTACTCAGTAATACATTGGGAGAGGTGTAACTGGGGCATTAAAATACGAATGTGTGTCTAATTTTCAAACATCATAAGTATTTTGAAAGCACTTATACATAATCAATTAATATATGTTGCTAACTAAATTCATATGAATAATATGTGATATAAATTAGTGTTTTGTATTAATTTCAAGACAATTAGAAAGAGAATGTCACCATCACTCTTTTGATTCAATCAACAGTCCTTAGACTGGTTCCTTGTAATAAATTTAATGGGTTAATAAAAGCTGTGTTATTTGAAATTATGTAATTTTGTTTTTTTAATATTTTGCTCAAACACTTTTCTTATTAGTGTAAATGACTGAAGTATTATGTAAATTTTAATACTGATTATCTAAGGTATATCATTAAAACAAATTATGAGCTGTGATCTTGGGCAAGGTACTCAAACTGAAAGATGTTTTCCTTATCTGAAAATTTAGATAATAATAATTACCTCATAGTCTGTTAAGAAAAGCACATGTGATAATATATTTTAATGTACAATATGTCTGGCACATATTAAGGTCTAAAAAAGATAACTGTTACTGTTATACCAATAAGTATAATAATTTTGATAAATATAATAGTAATTTAAATATATTTTTTCCAACTTTTATTTTAAGTTCAGGGGTACATGTGCAGGATGTGCAGGTTTGTTACATAGGTAAATGTGTGCCATGGTGGTTTGCTACACAGATCATCCCATCACCTAGTTATTAAGCCCAGCATCCGTTAGCTCTTGTTCCTGATGCTCTCCCTCCTCCCATCCCCTACCCTCCGACAGGCCCCAGTGTGTGTTGTTCCCCTCCATGTGTCCATGTGTTCTCATCATTCAGCTCCCACCTATAATGAGAACTATAAACTCATCATTCAGCTCCCACCTATAAATGAGAACATATGATATTTGGTTTTCTGTTCCTGTGTTAATTTGCTAAGGATAATGGCCTCCAGCTCCATCCATGTGCCTGCAAAGAACATGATCTTATTCCTTTTCATGGCTACATAATGCACCACATTTTCTTTATTTAGTCTACCATTGATGGGCATTTGGGTTGATTCCATGTCTTTGCTATTGTGAATAGTGCTGCAATGAACATATGCATGCATATGTCTTTTATAACAGAGTAATTTATATTCTTTTGGTTATATACCCAGTAATGAGATTGCTGGGTCAAACAGTATTTCTGTCTCTAGGTCTCTGAGGAATTGTCACACCGTCTTCCACAATGGTTGAACTAATTTACACTCCCACCAACACAACCTCTCCAGCATCTGTTGTTTTTTCACTTTTTAATGATAACCATTCTTACGGGTGTGAGATGGTATCTCATTGCGGTTTTGGTTTGCATTTCTCTAATGATCAGTGATATTGAGCTTTTTTTCATATGTTTCATGGCCACATGCATGTTTTCTTTTGAGAAGTATGTGTTCATGTCCTTTGCCCATTTTTTAATGGGTTTTTTCTTGTAAATTTAAGTTCCTTATAGATGCTGAATTGTAGATCTTTGTCAGACGCATAGATTGAAAAATTTTCTCCCATTCTGTGGGTTGTCTTTTTACTGTGTTGGTAGTTTCTTTTGCTGTGTAGAAGCTCTTTACTTTAATTAGATCCCATTTGTCAATTTTTGCTTTTGTTGCAATTGTTTTTGGCATCTTCATCATGAAATCTTTGCCCATGCCTATGTCCTGAATGGTATTGCCTAGGTTTTCTTCTAGGGTCTTTATAGTTTTGGGTTTTACATTTAAGTGTTTAATCCATCTTGAGTTGATTTTTGTACATGGTGTAAGGAAGAGGTCCAGTTTCAATCTTCTGCATATGGCTAGCCAGTTCTCCCAGCACCATTTATTAAAGAGGGAATCCTTTCCCCATTGCTTGTTTTTGTCAGATTTGTTGAATATCAGATGCTAGTAGGTGTGTGGTCTTATTTCTGGGTTCTGTATTCTGTTCCATTGGTCTATATGTCTGTTCTTGTACCAGTACCACGCTGTTTTAGTTACTGTAGCCCTGTAGTATAGTTTGAAGTTGGGTAATGTGATGCCTTCAGCTTTGTTCTTTTTGCTTCGGATTGCCTTGGCTCTTCGAGCTCTTTTTTTGGTTCCATGTGAATTTTAAAATAGTTTTTTAAAAATTCTTTGAAGAATGTCAATGGTAGTTTAATGGGAATAGCATTAAATCTATAAATTGCTTTCGGTAGTATGGCCATTTTCATGATATTGATTCTTCCTATCCGTGAGCATGGAATGTTTTTCACTTTGTTTGTGTCATCTCTGATTTCTTTGAAGAGTGATTTGCAGTTTTCCTTGAAGAGGTTCTTCACTTCCCTTGTTAGCTATATTCCTAGGTATTTTATTCTATTTGTGGCAATTGAGAATGGGAGATCATTTGTGGGTAATTTAAATTTTTAAAATCAAATATTTTACCACTCATTATGCATTATTCTTCTCTGGGATAGATAGAGATTTCCCAGAACTCCGATAACCTTTATTTTAACCTATTTACCTCTGATTAATCTGTTTCACCTCCCGGTTGTTACTGTAGTAACTGGGGTTATTAATAGCCTCAGAGCTACCAACACTTCTCTGTAAAACTGATTATCTTTTTCAGGATGGCATCCTCTAAATGGTTATGCAAGATTTATGGTGAAGAATGGAGGTAGCTGACTAAATAATTTGATGAGCTTTACTCAACTATCTACTTTTCACAGCCTCTATTTTGTCCCCTGTGGAAGCACATAACAGGGCTTAGTTTTGGTGTTGTAGCTCTCTGTCAGAATCTGCAATTAGTAGGTCTCATATATAAAATTTCATTTCATCTTAATATTAATCTCACCAAATGGAAGCTATCTAAACTTTAAAGTTAAAATGACTGAGGCTAACAGAGAATATGTGATTTGTTGAGGGTCACAAACTTAACAAATTCTCCAACTATGGGACAAATGCATTTTTCTCAAAATCTGTTACCTTTTATATTATATCCCAGTGTCTCATAGTGCCAAGACAAGGAAAAAATGAACAATTCTTAGACAATTATCTTCTTTTCCAGGGAATATCTTTCCATTTTCTTTTTCCCATCCCTCTCCCACCCTCCCCCAGCTACAGTCAACCCTCAAATATAAGAACCAGAGAATTTAAATAAATGTCACAAGAAGAAACATCCTGAATCGTGTTCTTCTTCTGGTTTCTGAAACTTCCAAACATATCTTCAGCGTTATCACAAAGTTCAGTGATACTTAGGAATGACCTAGTGCTGGACACCAAGTAGATGATCAATGAATAATTTTTGTATTTTTAGTAGAGACGGGGTTTCATGATGTTGGCCAGTCTGGTCTCGAACTCCTGACCTCAGGTGATCCATCTGCCTTGGCCTCCCAAAGAGCTGGGATTACAGGCATGAGCCACCGCGCCCGGCCCAGAAACAGATTTCTTATCTGAAATATCAGAAGGCAGAAAACAACAAGAGGGAAAAAAGGCTGCTAACTTAACGCATGGGGAAGCAGGGTGTGGGCAGGAAATGCAGTGTAAGAGAGGAGATTTGTACAGGGCGATGGAAGAGACAATGGAGAGAAGACAATCTGAGCAGAAGCTGTGAGGAGTAGATAGATACTGGGGAAAGGGACTGCTAATTATGGTGTTATTTTAAAACTAGCTTTGTGTTTAAAATTCTCATTGCAACACCCTCAGAGACCTCCACTGCACTGCAAAAATCTTGGATTTATATTTTGTTTATCTTCTGGTGTAAAACTGAGCTGAAGCACACTGATTCTACTAGAAGAAGTCAATGTCCTAGGAAGACATTGACAGCTGTAGGGATGTTAACTGGGTCATCTTCACCAGTAGGTGGGGACATTGCACTTTAAAAATTCAAGGGAGCTGCTGCTTTCCCTTCTCTCCTGGCCCCTTGGCAGGTCTAGATTTGAGGGATCAGCATTTCTTGAGGGTGGTAACCCAGCCACTCTTATTTCCCTTACTCTTCCTTCCATGTGTTCAAAATATGATGCAATCTGAGATGTGGTTGTGGGTGTTTGAGAAGCAAAGAAGCATGGCTGGAGCAGGAGTTAAAGTCTGCTTTTGTTTGAGAACTGAAGAGCTCAGTCTTTTACACGCTTTCACAGATAAGAGATTGGTACTATAAAATTACATGCTTAAAACAAACTTCGCTGCTGTCATTCTAATGCAAGCCACTATCCTTTTTCACATTGAGCATTCTGCCACCATCTGCAGCATTCTTGATATTTCAGTAAGAATTAAATTTTATTTTGCAATTAGTATTTTAAATTTATCAGGATACCTGTACATAGTTTGAGGATTAAACAATAAAGATGTATTTTAATGAAAACAAGAGCCCTTCATGCCATTCCTTTCCTCCACTAGCATTATCCCCAGCTCAATGACTTTTAATGGTAATATGTGTATCTTTGTGTATGTGGGGTATTAATTTAGACATCAGTTTTCTAATTATCTGAAAGCAGATAATTTAGACCACCAACAATTATATGTCTCTGGCATCCTTCTTGCAATTTTATTATATTACTATGTTTAGTTCCTCCATAGATAATCCCTGTATTTAAAAAAAGCAAAGAAAACCTACACCTAAGTATATTGTATTTAAACTGTAAAAAAGTTGAAATACATAAATACTGTTTAGAAAAGCAAAGTGGGATGAGAAAATACAAGTTATTACATTTTAGTATATTTCTTAAAAATGAATATAACAGATATTTGTTAGTATGCATTACAAAATTTGGGCAACATAGTTATGAAGTATATTTGGATATTTTTCAATACATATATTACACAAAGGAAGAAATAAAGTACTGCTCAAATCAATGGATTAAATAACCTAGTTGAAATATTGGAAAGTAGATGAACAGTAATTCACAGAAGAAACTCAAATGGAAAATAGCATATGCAAAGATGGCCAACTTTCTCTATAATATTTGACACAGTAATATTATGTCATTTCAGTTTAAATAAAATTATACATTGATAAAAATGTGAAATCATGTCTTTGAGGGGTTACTAAGAAACTGTCTAGAAGCGTCGTTCTGGAAGCTGATGTGGTTTTGGAAGATCAAGTGTGAATGTCCAAAGGCACTTCTGTTGAATAAAACACCAAGTGGAGAAATTGAAGATCCCTGATTGCGGAAGCATCCAACTGTTTAGAACTCAACTGAAATCCTGAATAATAGTTCTCTATATGTAGCAGGAGGAACAAGTGACTCATGGAAATAACGGGTTTATTTAAATAAAGACAGCCATCATGTGGACATCAAATTCATCAATGAATGTATCCATTCATTTGTCAAATAATTATTTAGCTCCTACTAAGTGATACATGCTATTCCAGATAACTTAGTCAAAAAGGCAAATGTGTCCCTACCTTTATGAGCTTTAATTCTAGCAGGAACTAAAAAAAGTCACATAATAAACAGACATAAAATGCAGTTTTAGGTTGTGATTCTTGCTGTGAAGCTACAAATGAAGAAAGCCGAGTAAGGGAATAAAGAAACAAGTGCTTATCAGTAGTGAACTTCCATTCAGGCCATGACAGGCTCATATCAAAAGAAGCAGAAATATTTTATTATTTTTCCTTGGGTTATTAGTGTCACATGTAAGAATAGTGCACTAGATTTACTACCACAGATTTTTGTACTTATACTTATTTTGAACAAAATAACAACATCTAGATAGTTCCTTTCCTCCTGCAAGAACTAAGTGTATGTAAGTTCTCTCTTTTGTAACCTAATTTATTTTTTTCACATGTGAGGATCCCAGATACTATTAGGATGCCTTCATTGCTAATTGGATCTTGGAAAATATACTTTCTTGCTTTACAAAATATATTTCCTTTTAAGCCTCAGAGTAAATTTTGAAATGATCTACCCATAGATTAGTCCTCTGATTTTAACTAGTATCATTATTCTAGCTGTAAAGGATATCTGTTCAAACTGTGTACAGGTAAGATTATCCAGGGGGTATAGTTTAGAGCACCCATAGAATTTTCAATAGATTATGTGATTTTACAAGAATCTATCAAGTTAATGTTTCAAGAATATTGATAATTACTTTTAGAGGTTTTGCTGAAAAAATACAAATAGACAGGGAGTCCATAGTAATAGGGTGGGTCTAAAGGTATGTAGTCTGAGTGAGGACATGGGATGTTAAGTCCAGAGACAGGCCATATGCAGACAGCCAGAACAATGTCTCAAAATCTACAAATGGCTGGGCCTGGATCACTAATTCTTATGTGAAGGAGGATGCCAGAAATGAGCAAAGTAAACTTAACAGAGTCTGAAAACACATCTTAAGGTAGAGGTTATAATGAATCCACCTGCCATCCGAGCCTGATACACATGCTAGAATGGGTTATAGAAATGGGCTAACAGGAAAAAAGTCATTGAAATCATGGAAAAGACCGAAATGAAAAATGTGAGATAATATAAAGGTCCATATATGTTATTAATTTCAGTAAAATGCAAATAGACTTGACTTGTGATTAAAAGAGAGAGATTGACAAATTGAATGCAAAAATACAAATTCAGATTATACTGTTTACAAGACATATGTCTAAAGCATAAAAGTCACTTCAGAGATTGAGTGTAAAAGAAAACAAATTTTAAGGAAAAAAGGCATTGTAGATTTTTCACCATCTCTTTATTTTGAGCCTGTGTGTCATTGCATGTGAGATAAATCTCTTGAAGACAGCATACCAATACATCTTGGTTCTTTATCCAGCTTGTCACTCTGTGTCTTTTAATTGGGGCATTTAACTCATTTACATTTAAGGTTAGTATTGATATGTGTGGATTTGCTCCTGTCATCATGATGTTAGCTGGTTAATTTGCAGACTTATTTATGTGGTTGCTTTATAGTGTCACTGGTCTGTGTACTTCAGTGTGTTTTTGTAGTGGCTGGTAACAGTCTTTCCTTTTCATATTTAGTGCTTCCTTCAGCAGCTCTTGTAAGGTAGGTCTGGTGATAATGAATTTGCTCAGCATTTGCCTGTCTGAAAAGGATCTTATTTCTCCTTCAATATGAGGCTTCATTTGGCCAATCATGAAACTCTGAGTTGGAATTTCTTTTCTTTATGAATATTGAATATTGGCCTCCAATCTCTTCTGCTTATAGGGTTTTAGCTGAGAGGTCTGCTGTTAGTCTGATGGACTTCCCTTTGTAGGTGACCTGATCTTTCTCTCTAGTTGTTGTTGTTGTTGTTGTTGTTGTTTTAACATTTTTTCTTTCATTTTGACCTTGGGGAAGCTGATGATTGTGTGTCTTGGGGATAATATTCTTGTGAAGTATCTTATTGGGGTTCTCTACATTTCCTGAATTTGAATGTTGGCCTCTCTAGCTAGGTTGGGGAAGTTCTCATGGATGATATCCTGAACTATGTTTTCCAAGTTGGTTCCATTCTCTCTTTCTCTTTCAGGGACACCAATCAGTCATAGATTTGGTCTCTTTACATAACCCCATATTTCCCAGAGGTTTTGTTCATCATTGTGGAAGACAGTGTGGAGATTCTTCAAAGACCTAAAGACAGAAATACCATTCAACCCAGCAATCTTATTACTGGGTATATACCCAAAGGAATATAAATCTTTCTATTATAAAGGCACATGCATGTATATGTTCATTGCAGCACTATTCACAACAGCAAAGACATGGAATCAACCTAAATGCCCATCAATGATAGACTAGATAAATAAAATGTGGTACATATACACCATGGAATACTATGCAGCCATAAAAAACAAAATCATGTCCTTTGCAGAGACATGAATGAACCTGAAAGTCATTAACCTTAGCAAACAATGGGGGAACAGAAAAGTGAATACTGTATGTTCTCACTTATAAATAGGAGCTAAATTATGAGAACACATGAAATTCATAAAGGAAAACAACACACTGGGGCCTATCAGAGGGTGGAGGGTGGGAAGAGGGAGAGGATCAGGAAAAATAACTAATAGGTACTAAGCTTAATAACTGTTTGACAAAATAATCTGTACAACCAACCTCCATGACACAGTTTACCTATGTAACAAAACTGCACATGTACCCCGAACTTAAAATAGTAGTTAAGAAAAGAAAACAAACAAACAAAAAGCAAATTAAAAATAAAAGCTATGGTTGAATCAATGATGACATTAAGGAATAAAACAAGCATTAGGATCATGACATTAGTACAAAGCCATTCATGAGAGATCTGCCCCCACGGTCTAAACATCTCCCATTAGGCCCTGCCTCCAACATTGGGGATCAAATTTCAACATGAGATTTGGAGTGGACAAATATCCAAACTGTGGATGGGAACATATGTGGAAGAAATACTTAATACAATTGCATTTAAAAAGTAGAGAGGGTAAAATATACTAATGGTACTAGAGGTATGGACTGTATGCTTCACTCAAAGTGGTAAAACATCAATACCATTGACTGTGATAAGTTATATGTATATATTGTAATAAGTACAACCACCACCAAGAAAGCTATATGAAGCAATGTACTAAAAAAGATTAAAAAGTATGAGTGTAGATACAAAAGTTCTTCCTGAGAACTTCAAATAAGATAGATATGCATATGGTGAGTAGGGCTGAAGTCTTGACTTCTATGCCTGAAAGTAGGCATTATTGACTGGGAATTTAATTCCTAAGTGGGAAAGAAACCAAAAGTGCTCTATGGAGGAAAGAGAGCCAAATTTTGACTTTCTGCTTCTGGCTAGGAGCTGAGGTTGGGCTCCCCATGATTTTAAAGGAGGTTGAGGAGAATGTTTTCAAACACTTGTATGCTATAGATATAAGGAAGTGAGAAGACACAGAATAACTTTCTCAAAAGGAACTGAAGCAAATAAAAAACAACTGTCCTGAGAAGATTGTTATTGTTCCAGATATTACAACAGGACAATAAATCTGAATGATCACTGAAAAACTGGGATTTTGATTGGAAGCCTGATGGGCTGAGGTGGAGTGGCTAAATAAAACCTCTGGACAGGGACAGTGGAGTACAGAAAGGAAGAGGAGGGAGGAGAGTAAAAGAGATGGGCAATGCTATGGTTTGAATGTTTATTTTCTCTGAAACTCATATTGAAACTTAATCCCCATAGTAATAGTATTAAGAGGGCTGTAAATCCAACTATGGTATTTGAGAGGTGGCACCTTTGGGAAGTAATTAGGATTAGATGAGGTCATGAGGGTGGGGCATTGAGAGGAGAAACAGAGACCTTGAGCCATACCCCTTTGCCCTCTTGTCACATGATGCTCTGCACCTCATCAGAACTCGGCAGAGGGCCCACCAATAAGAAGGCTCTCACCAGATGCTGGCACCATGCTCTGGGACTTCTCATCCTCCAGAACCATAAGAGATAAATTTTGTTTCTTCATAAATTACCCAATTTTTGGCATTCTGTTACAAGCAACAAGAAACAGACTAAGGCAGAAAATTGGTACTAAAAAGTTGGGCTGTTGCTAATAACAAATATCTGAAAATGTGGAAGCAGATGTGGAACTAGGTAATGGGTAGAGGTTAAAAGAACTCAAAGGAGCAGGCGAGAAAAAGCCTGTATTGCCTTAAATGTCAATTCTGGTGATAAAGGGTGAGTTTGGTGAGGGCTTAGAAGAAGTCAAGAAGACTAGGAAAAGTCTGGAAGTCCTTTGTGATGATTTCAGTGGTCAGGACCAGAATGTCAATAGAAATATGGACAGTAAGGGCTGTTCTGCTGAGGTCTCAGGTCTAAGGAACAAGGAATTGGAAACTGGAGTAAAGGCCATCCTTGTAATAAATGGGTGAAAAACTTGGCTCTGAATTGTGTCTATATCTGATGGTTTTATTAGGCTATATGGCAGAAGAAATATCTAAGCAGCAAAGCAGTCAGGCAGCTGCATGGCTACTTTTAACTGCTTACATTAAAGCTGTGAGAGGTAAAAAATAACTTAAAGGTGGAATTTATAATTAAAAGGGAAGCTAAGTGGAAAGATTAGGAAATTTTGCAGCCTCGCCCTGAAAGAGCATTTTCAACAGAGGAAACCAAGGGTGTGTCTGAAGGAATGATTGATAAGGAGGGATTGATTGATAAGGAGAATTGTATGAATAGAATAAAGCCAGAAGCTATTCATCAAGACAATGGGAGACAAACACTGAATGCACTTTAGAGATCTTCAAGTCTACCCCTGCCATCACAGGCCCAGAGCTCTAGGAGGAAAGAATGGTTTCAGGAGACAGGCCTGGGGTGTCCTCCATGGGCTTGCTGCCCAATGCCACCTCAGGACAGTGCTTCCCTCATCCTGGTTGCTCCAGCTATAGCTCAAGTGGCCCTAGATGTGACTCATATTGTAGCTGCAGAGGGCACAAGCAGTAAGCCTTGGCAATGTCCACATGCATGTGGTGCTATTTCTGCAGGTCTTCAGGATGCAAGACTAGTGGGAAGGCATAGAAATCTCCACCTAGATTTCAAAGGATGTATCAGACTGCCTGGGAACCCAGGGAGAAAACTGCCACAGGGGCAGGGCCACCACTGTGGGGAAAAGCAAGAGGGATCAGATTGTTACTGTGTCTGTGTAGAAAGAAGTAGACATAGGAGACTCCATTTTGTTCTGTACTAAGAAAAATTCTTCTGCCTTGAGTGCTGTTAATCTATGACCTTACCCCCAACCCCATGCTCTCTGAAACATGTGCTGTGTCGAACTCAGGGTTAAATGGATTAAGGGTTGTGCAAGATGTGCTTTGTTAAACGGATGCTTGAAGGCAGCATGTTCCTTAAGAGTCATCACCACTCCCTAATCTCAAGTACCCAGGGACACAAACACTGTGGAAGGCCGCAGGGACCTCTGCCTAGGAAAGCCAGATATTGTCCAAGGTTTCTCCCCATGGGATAGTCTGAAATATGGCCTTGTGGGAAGGGAAAGACCTGACCATCCCCCAGCCCGACACCCATAAAGGGTCTGTGCTGAGGAGGATTAGTATAAGAGTTGAGACAAGGGGAAGGCATCTGTCTCCTGTCCGTCCCTGGGCAATGGAATGTCTTGGTATAAAACCCGATTGTACGTTCCGTCTACTGAGATAGGGAAAAACCGCCTTAAGACTGGAGGTGAGACATGCAGGCAGCAATACTGCTTTGTAAAGCATTGAGATGTTTATATGTATGCATATCTAGAGCACAGCACTTGATTCTTTACCTTGTCTATGATGCAAAGACCTTTGTTCACGTGTTTGTCTGCTGACCCTCTCCCCACTATTGTCTTGTGACCCTGACACATCCCCCTCTCTGAGAAACACCCACGAATGATCAATAAATACGAAGGGAACTCAGAAGCCGGCGGGATCCTCCATATGCTGAACGCTGGTCCCCTGGGTCCCCTTATTTCTTTCTCTGTACTTTGTCTCTGTGTCTTTTTCTTTTCCAAGTCTCTCGTTCCACCTAACGAGAAACACCCACAGGTGTGGAGGGGCGACCCACCCCTTCAACCACCAAGAGCCTCTGCTAGGGCAATGCTGAGAGGAACTGTGGGGTTGGAACTGCTACAGGGAGTCCTCCCCAGGGAAATATCTAGTGGTGCTGTGACAGTGGGACTGCCACCAAGACTCCAAAACTGTAGAGCTACCAGCATGCAGTCCCAGCTTCGAAAACCCAAGGCACCTGACTCCAACCCATGAGAACAGCCATATGTGGGCTGCAACCAGCAAAGCCATGAGGGCAGGGTTGCCTGAGGTCTTGGGGGCCCAACTTCTGCCCCTGTGTGCTCAGGATGAGGAACATGGAGTCAAAAGACATTATTTCCAGATTTAAAATTTAATGTCTTTCCCTGTTGAGTTTCAGACTTCCTTGAGGCCTGTTACTTCTTTCTTCTGGCCCATTTCTCCTGTCCCAGCATTATATCTTGGAGGTAGATAATTGGCTTTAGTATCTCAGGCTCACAGATAAGGACTTTGGACTTTTGGACTTTTGAGTTGGTACTAGAGAAAGTTAAGACTTTGGGGCTCTGGGGATAAAATGAATGTATTTGAATGTGAGAAGAATATGAGTTTTGAGGCTGCAGGGGTGAAATGCTATGGTTTGAAAGTTTGCTCCTCTAAATCTTATGTAGAAACTTAATCCCTATTGTAACAGTATAAAAGGGTAAGAAAACAGACCATGATATTTTAGGGGTGGGACATGTGAGAAGTAATTAGTATTAGATGAGGTCATGAGGATGGGGTGATGGGGCACTAAGGGTTTGATAAGAGGAGAAAGAGATACTTGAGGTAGCCCTCTCAGCCTGCTTGCTATGTGATGCCTTGCACCACAATGGGACTCTGCAGAGGGTCCCCACTAGCAAGGAGGCTCTCACCAGATGCTGGCACCATGCTCTTGGACTTCCCAGCCTCCAGAAATAAATTTTGATTCTTTATAAATTACCCAGTTTCAGGTATTCTATTACAATCATCAGGAAATTAATTAAGACAGCAAAATCGACATGTAGAATACAAAATAATCACAGCACTTTGGGAGGCCGAGGCAGGCGGATTACCTGAGTTCAGGAGTTTGAGACCAGCCTGGCCAACATGGGGAAACCCTGTCTCTACTAAAAATACAAAAATCAGCCGGGTGTGGTGGCACATGCCTGTAATCCCAGCTACTCAGGAGACTGAGGCAGGAGAATCCCTTCAACCCAGGAGATGGAAGTTGCAGAGTGAGCCAAGATTGTGCCACTGCACTCCAGCCTGGGCAATGGAGTGAGACTCTGTCTCAAAAAAAAAAAAAGAATATACAGTAATTGGAGATGAAATTAATTTAAGTGTTCTGGTATATACTATGTAAGTATATGAAGTATAAATAAGTAGAGTGCAGATGACACCAATAATAATGACTTCATTGTTATTCTGTCTCGGTGAAGAAGGAGTCCTGTAGGTATGATTAATTATTCTCTTAGGTGTGTCTTCTCAATGCCAGCAAAGCTAGGTGTGGGTGAAAAAAATACCAACTAGTCTTTTTTGTTAAGTGACTATGAATATCATCAGATCCCTGTGCTTCCCTGTCTCTATCCCCAGGGATTCAATGACATTTATACACTTGGTTCCCAGGTGAGATTTTAATTAATAAACTAATCTCATGACTGTTAGCAATTATAATTAGATATTCTGTCAAGTTCCTAATTCTCACATCTTCAAGTCCTGTAATTTGGCATGAAGGCACTGCGAATTTGGACTTTGAGCTAACAAGATTTAGACAGGATATTGGCCTTGATCTGAGGCTGTAATGGAATGAGACTTTGGGGGGTCCTTGAGAAGGGATTAATGTATTTTACATTTGAGAGGGACATGAATTACAGGTGGCCAGAGGGCTGAAGAGGTGAGAAGGAAAGCAGAATTCTAAGATGGCCCCCAGGAATATCTATCACCCCCTGTTGTACATACCTTATAAAATTCCTTTCCTTTAAATGTGGGTGGAACCTACCGAGACCAGCTTTGTCAGGGAGACCCTAACCCAGCAGCGCTAGAGGAATTAAAGACACACACACAGAAATATAGAGGTGTGAAGTGGGAAATCAGGGATCTCACAGCCTTCAGAGCTGAGAGCCCTGAACAGAGATTTACTCACATATTTATTAATAGCAAACCAGTCATTAGCATTGTTTCTATAGATATTAAATTAACTAAAAGTATTCCTATGGGAAATGAAGGGATGAGCTGAATTAATTGCAGCCGGAACACGCCCTTAAGACATAGATTGCTCATGCTTTTGTTTGTGGCTTAAGAATGCCTTTAAGTGGTTTTCTGCCCTGGGCAGGCCAGGTGTTCCTTGCCCTCATTCCCGTAAACCCACAACCTTCCAGCTTGGGTGTTAGGGCCATTATGGACATGTTATAGTGCTGCAGAGATTTTATTTATGGCCCAGTTTATAGCCATAAACTGGGCCATAAATTTGGGGCCATAAATTTGGGGCCAGTTTATGGCCAGATTTTGGGGGGCTTGCTCCCAATAGTAACCAGTAAATTTAATGGTATGATCACTACTGTGATTGGGTTATGTTTTGACTGCAATTAGCCTTATGAAAAGGAAATTATTGTAGGTGAGCATGAACTAATTAGGTGAGCCCTTGAAAGGGACTGAACTTTTCTTGAAGAGAGAGATTAAACATGAGAAAGACTCCCTATTACTGACTTTGAAGACGTAGAGGGCCATGTGGCAAGGAACTGAGAGTGGTTACTGGGAGCTGATACTGATCCCTGGCTGATAGCCAGCTTGAAAACATGGACCTCAGTCATACGTGGAAATAAATTCTGTCAACAGGCAGTGAGCTTGGAAGAGGACTCCATATTCAAATGAGAATTATAAGGTCAGCGTGTGACTTCAGTCTTGTGAGATCCTAAGCAGAGAGCCCAGTTGAGCTTTGCCTAGACTTCTGACCTAGAAAACTGAGATAATAAATGGGTGTTGTTTTAAGCTGCAAAGTTTCTACTAATTTGTTATGACAGTGGCTAGAAAATTAATACAATATGCTTTGTTTATTTAAATGTTACATACTGCACCATAAGCACCTTTGACATAAACAGAATGCTTAAAATTGATATACCTTTCACATATTAATTCTTTACTTTTTCTTAGTATAGTCTAAGAATACTTTCCTGTACGGTTTCTTTCTTTGTTTTGTTATTTAAACTCATCTCACCACTTTTTAATAAAATAAATATTTACTTTTTTTTTCTATATTTTTGTTGATGGCTTTCATGAAACTTCGGTTCTTGTCTTCTTAGTTTAAAAGAATTTAAACGAGACACACAGCAAAGGAGATACAACATAGAGCAATTTATTGCAAAGGAGAAAGGATACTCTGAAAGTTAGGTGCAGAATCAACAGTACACCCCAAGAGACAATTCAGGGCAGGTTGCTTGTGCGGGTGAGACAGTGTTGAATGTTACTGGGGAAACTCCCTTTATGGGAGTCTTACATGATTATTCATAAGGGGGTGGGAAGATGTGTTACTAGCAAGCATGTTCTGGGTGGTTCCTCCTCAGTTCTGAGTTCCTTCTCATTTAAACTTTTAATCTGCCTCAGTATAATCTCTGTATGTGTGTATGTATGGGCTCTTTTTACTATCCCACTAACTCACTAATTGACCCAACACTATTTTTAGTAATTTTTCCTATTCCACTGGATTAAAAGTTTGCTTTATTATGCACTACATTCTTAATTTATCCAACATAAATGCAGGATAACTTGTTCTATCCTTGAAAGCAGTCCCAGTATGATGTTCTTTAGAGAGGCCAGAGCAAATTTCCCCGTACTCCATTTCAAATACTTCAAATTATATTGCAACCTCTTGAAAAATATCAAATTAGGATTGTATTTCTAACACCAAGAAAAATGATTTAAAATTCTTTTAAAATAGCTTCTTGTCCTAAAAATCTCACCATAATTTCCTTATCACTATGCTGCTTTCTCTTTCGTTCCATATTGGTGTCATGACAATCAAGTATATTTCAAAAAACTTGTTTCCGGACCCCTTACATCCCACTGAGTTCCATTCCTCATTAGCTACAGCCCATTACCCTACAAATTTGGATAGACTCCAGAAGAGTAGAGTGGGCCCTTATGTACCTTGAAGAAGTGAAGAATATAACCTGTAACATTGAAGGCTTCTTAGAAATATGTTTGTCTCCCATCCCAAAATTTTCTCAAAGGGTTTGCGACTTCCTAGAAATGTAATACAGTGGTCCTCCCTTATCGATGGTTTCACTTTCCACAGTTTCAGTTACTGGTGGTCAATCAATCACAGTGTGAAAATATAGGTGTTTAGTACAATAAGATATTTTGAGAAGAGGGGAGAGAGAAAGAGACAGAGAAAGAGAGAGAGAGATCTCATTTACATAACTTTTATTACAGTATATTGTTATAATTGTTCTATTTTATTATTAGTTATTGTTGTTAACCTATGACTGCACAATTTGTAAATTAAACTATATCATATGTTTGTATGTGTAGAAAAACATAGCATATACAGAGTTTGGTACATGCCTTCAGGCATCCTTTGGGGTGCCTTGCAACATATCTCCCATGGATAAGAGGGGGCTATTGTAAACAAAATTTTCAATTTCATTAATTGTGGCATAAATTAGGTTCTGTTTATGTGCAGCCAATATCATTCCACAGTTGTCCTTTTTTTGGGGCACTATGAACATGTTTTAATTGTTTAGCTTTATAATCATTTGTAAACATCTATTAGAGTACCTCTCCTTATTTTTATCAATAGTTGTTTTTGTATACCGCTCTTGAAAGTTAGAAACATTTTGTTAATAAAACTGTCTTATTACTATTTAGATTAAAGCATCACCAAGTCCGTGTATTTTGTCTGGAAAAGTGACACAAATTGCCCTGTCCAAGAAAGTGGTATCATTGTTTACTAAACTTCTTTCTGTCCTTAAGTAAATTTCTATTCTTTTCTGTGGATTGCACACATGACTGCTTTGATATTTTGTATATTTATTGCTCTTTTCAATAATTTTTTTTCTGGAATGGATTCATTGACCTAATCTGCCAGAGAGAATTAATGAGGCCCCACATCTTCTCATTAGTTGGAGAGGAAAGTATTTAATGGTTTAACTTGAACGTGACTTTTGTGAATCTTTTTTTTTTTTTTTTAAAGCAGAATCCTGTATTTGGTTACATTGTGGTCTAGTGACCACTTCCTTCAGGTAAAGCAAGCTTCCCTGTCTGGAACAGCCAGGCATGTGATAAAAAATTTCCTTTGTGGTCACTTAGTTATTATTCCTCTTGTCTTGAGTGTCTGGGCTGCTATTTTCATGTATTTACATCCAAATGAAGTCTTTCTTTCCAACTTTTTATAGTATGTTTTGATTCACAAAATATTTTAGCCTTATCTACAATATAATAATTTCCCACAAATGCAAAGAATATAGGTTTGTACAGCTTTGAAGTAATATTGGCAAAAGAGTATGAAGCAGAGTGCCCATATTTAAATATAACTTTCAACATGTTAGTCTTTCTATAGGTGTTTTCAGGATAATAAAAATTAATTTGATTGATATAGACTTGGGGGCAATATATGAGAAACAGGCTCTGCTCTAAAGGATAGGATGAGAGGTGGGCAGGGAGGATTTGTATGGTTTGAATTCCAGGCACACACGCTAACTGCTAATTTGGCATCATCCACCAGGTTGAATATTTTCATGAAATTCTGTCTTACATCTCTGCTAATCCTAAAACAAAGAATGAGGATCATTTCAGGTGAGTCTAAGTCAGGAGAAACTATTAAAATTGTTATATTCTTCATTTAATTTTTTTCTATGATTATTTTTTCTTCTTTTTATACTAATTAGAATAGGCCAAACTGCTGCAACAAATAGACTAAAAAGTGTATTGTGGCTGAAATATAGTAGAAGTTTATAACTCACTAATGTAGCAGAAGGAGGATATTGAAGATTTGTGAGTCGCTTTTCTCCAGGTGGTGATTCAGAATTCCAAGCTCCCATAGTCCAATATGGTGCCTTTCATTTTTTTTCCTGAGAAAATTAACACATTTTAATTTTTCCTCAAGAAGGGAGGTACAAGAGTGATCAATTGTGATCTAGAAGATTAAGGCAAGAAAGTTAGTGAAATTTGCTACAGTGTCTACTATTATAGTTGTCATTATGACTGTAACTAATATTTGTTTCCCTCCTTCACAAGCCATTCTTGATTCCCCTCATCCTCTGAATTTAGTCTAGTTTGTTTTTCTGTTTTGGTGACAGAGACAACTATTCCAGAAGGGTCTATGTTACTATTTACTCTGTTCTTGAATTATGATTGTTTTAGTGTCTACTGACAGACATGACCATGCATAGAAGCACTAAAAGACTATTGTATTTTCATCTGGGATAGTAGTCTCTGTCACTAAACCAGAAGAACAACCTAGTTTTTAGACCTGTTCAAGCTTGGTTCCAAAGGAACCACTTCTGCTGCAGATGGATTGTGGTTGGTATCCCCAAACTTACGACTCCATGGATTTATAGCTCTTCGCATCATATGGACAATTTAAGGCACATGGTCAGTGTGCTAAGTGCCTATCAGGAAGAAATGAACACTTGGTCATAGTTTTAGAACTATGAAAGGAAATTAAATCTTGGGACTCCAACTCATTAAGCCTAAGGGAAAAGTTAATCTGGGAACGGGGTTGCGAAAACCCGCCTCCCCCTTTTTGGTTCCTAAATAAGATGGCTACAAAATGAAAAGCTACATGCCTCCCTCATATTTTGTCCACAAGGAAAGTCCTTGTGAGCTGCAAGATCTTTACTCTAAGGTGTTTCTGTTAAAATTTTACCATGGCAATGTAAATTGGTAGCTTATCTTTACAGGTGTAGTCACGCCCCTGCCCAGAAGACACAAATGCATATCTTTTTTTTTTTTCTTTTTTTTTTTTTGAGACGGAGTCTCGCTTTGTCATGCTGGCTGGAGTGCAGTGGCGCGATCTTGGCTCACTGCAACCTCCACCTCCCGGGTTCAAGTGATTCTCCTGCCTCAGCCTCCCAAGTAGCTGAGATTACAGGCATCTGCCACCATGCCTGGCTAATTTTTTTTTTTTGTACTTTTAGTAGAGACAGGGTTTCACCATGTTGGCCAGGCCTGTTTCAAACTCCTGACCCCAAGTGATCTGCCTGCCTCAGCATCCCCAAATGCTAGGATTACAGGCATGAGCCACCGCGCCCGGCCACAAACGCATATCTAATTGTTCCCCTTCCCCCGTTTTGTCTATGTCATCTTATGTAAAAAAAATGCAGATTAACTGAGCCAGACAAAGGCATGAATGACTATTTTTCCTTACCCTCCTCTTACATGAAAATTGTGTACTTCTCAATATCCCTACCCTTTCCCCTTAAATTTAGAGCCCTCAAAATTATCTTCGGAGAAAGGTATAGACCTGTCTCCTGGGTGCTTATTCTTAACTTTGGCAAATAAACCTCCTAAAATGATTGAGACTTGCCATTTTTCTCGATTGACAGAACACATGAGTTCATGCAAAGTTACTGTTGGAGAAGTTTTCCTGTGGTTGTTTTTTGGAACATGTAATATGAATGAAGTGATCAAGAGTTTGAGCTGTGACTTACACTTTAGGCTATAATAGAGTAATTGGTGCGGTTAAGACTTCATCTCTCCTGGGCAGCTTTCTTGAGCTTTAGGAGACTGACTCACAATGGAGCTGAGGCTTCTTCTGTCCCTTGCTACTGATCTGTAAGTAATAAAACTGCTTCACATAATTTGTGTGTGAGTGTGTTCTGTTTCACCAGACTCAGATAAACAGGTAGCCAGTGCATGGTGGACATAAACAGTAGCTCAGAATGCAGTGGGAAGAAGTATCTGGACCTCTTTTCCTGGTGGTTGGCATAGTGATGATCTTTTCTATTCTCCATGCAGTGGAAGTCCTCCCTTTCCTCCCTTGGTATTGGTAATTAGTAAACCTGCTTCATAAACTGTGATTAATATACTAAAATCTCTAATGGAAAAGGTAGACAACATGCAAGATTAGACAGTTTCAGCAGAGATATGAAAGCTTTAAGGATGAATGAAATGGAAATAAAATAAAAATAAATTAACAAAAATAAAGAATGCATTTGACAAGCTCATCAGCAAATGTGGTACAGCCCTGGGAAGAATCAGTGAGTTTGAAATAGATCAATAAAAATTACCCAGAGTGAAACACAAAGAGAGAAAGAGAGTAAAAGTACATTAAAAAAATAAGCCTGGCACAATGTTTCACATCTGTAATCTCAGCACTTTGGGAGGCTGAGGTGGGAGGAATGCTTGAACCTAAAGAGCAGCCTGGGCAACATAAGGAGACCTTGTCTACAAAGAGAGAAAAATTAAGTGGGCAAGCATGGTGCTGGTATTCCCAGCTACTCAAGAGGCTAAGACGGGAGGACTGCCTGAGTTGGGGGCGAGGGTGGGGGATGAAGTGAGCTGTGATCGCACCACTGCATTCCAGCCTGGGCAACAGAGTGACACCCTGTCTCAAAACAAACAAACAAACAAACAAACAAACAAACAAAGGTGATGTAACCATTCAATACAGCACTGCAGCTCTTGGATGATCTGTTTTGTTTTTCCCCTGCTCTTCTTTTCTCTTTGTATTTCACATTGGGTAATTTTTATTAGGTATCTTATTGAATTAGTTTGTTAAAAGATAAACACATTATTTCGGTTGGCTTTGCTTTTTTAACATTATATTTTGAAATAATTGTAGATTCAAAGGGAGTTACCAAGATAGAACAAAAAGATTCTGTATAGCCTTCATCCAGTTTTCCCCAATTGTAACATCTTACATAACTAAAGTGCAATATCAAAACCAGGAAATTATCCTGACATATATAGTCAAACGATTTTCAACAGGAGTGCCAGGGCCATTAAATGCGGAAAGGACAGCCTTTTCAACAATGGTGCTGGGAAAACTGGAAGTCCACATACAAAAGAATGAAACTGGACTCTTACCCTACATTATAGACAAAATGAACTCAAAATGAATCAAAGACCTAAATGTGAAAACTAAAACCATAAAACTCTTAGAAAAAAAATAGGGAAAATCTTCATGATATTTGATTAGGCAATGATTTCTTGGATATAACACCGAGGGCATAGGCAAGAAATGAAAAAAAAATATATAAATTGGACTCCATCAAAATTTACAACTTCTAATTGAGGCATGGAAAACTAAATACCATATGTTTTGATTTGTAAGTAGGAGCTAAGTGGGTACTAAGCTATGGGTACTCAAAGGCATACAGAATGGTATAAAGGACAATGGAGAGTAAGAAATTGGGGAGGATGGGAAGGAGGGTGAAGGATAAAAAACTACATATTGAGTACAATGCACACTACTCAGGTAACAGGTTCACTAAAATTCCAGGCTTCACCACTATACAATTCATCCATATAACAAAAAACCACTTGTAACCTAAAAGCTATTGAATTAAAATTATATTAAAAATTAAAAAAAATTATTATTGAGCATCTACTATGTGTTCAAAACTATTTTAGATGCTATATATTTGCCACTTCATTTAATCCTTGGCATTACTCTATGGAATAGATAATATTCTCATTTTGCAGTTAAAGAAACTCATACTCAGAGAGATTAACTTGGATTTATGAGCAATGTTGACATTATAAAGTAGAGGCAGGAAGACCAGTTAGGATGCTTTTGCAGAAATTAACTTGAGTGGAATTGTCGGTCTGTGAGAATAGAAAATGAATCTTTTGGGAAGATTCTACAATGTTATTGTTTTTGCATAAGTGACTTTTTCCTCTACTCCCTCTTTTCACATGTAAAATGTAGATTTACTGAGGCTAATCAGACTCACAAGAATGTAACCACTTGTGTCATTGCCTACCTTCCCTCCTTTTTTTTTTTTTTTCCTCTCTCTTTCCCTTCCTGCTTACTCTTTCTTTTTAAACATTGAAGTTCTCAAAACCCTCTTTGGAATAAGCATTGATCACAGATGCTCCTGTGATTCGTGTTTTTCCCAGGTGCATCCTGAACCTTGGCAAAATAAACCTCTAATTGATTGAGACCTGCCTCAGTCACTTTTCGGCTTACACCAGGATTTCTTTCTTTTTAAAGCCTGAATAGAATTCCATTGTGTATACATACATTATCTTTACCCATTCATCTGCTGAATGACACAGGTTGATTTCATACCTTGACTATTGTGCATAATGCTGCAATGAACATGGGAGTGTGGATATATTTTCAACCTACTGATTTAAAATCCTTTGTCTGTATCCTGGAAGTGGGATTGCTACATCATATGGCAGTTCTATTTTAACTTTTTGAAGAACCTTCATAATGTTTTCCCTAGTGGCCATACTAATTTACATTCCCACCAACAGTGTGCAAATGTTCCCTTATCTCCACGTCCTTGTTAACACTTGTTATTTTTTGTCTTTTTGATAATAGTCATCCTGAAAAGCATGGATTGATATGTCATTGAGGTTTAAATTGAATATCTTAAGTTTTCCTATTTGAGGATATGAGTAGTCCCCCCAAAATATTACTGCTAATGTTGCTTTTTTGCATGAACCATGACCTTGAGCTGAGCTGGACACTTGAATTCTTGAGTACTTGGACATGAGCTTAAATAGGACTGAAATATTTTTTACATACCTGAATATTAGTTCTTCTCTCTACTGGTAAGAACTTGTAGAAGAAGACATTATAAAGATCTCATAGAGAGATATTTAAGGTTTGTCTGGGAATGAAGGCACATGATGACTACAAATCTAGAAGCTGGGGAAGA
Source organism: Homo sapiens (assembly GCF_000001405.40). Classification (NCBI taxonomy): domain Eukaryota; kingdom Metazoa; phylum Chordata; class Mammalia; order Primates; family Hominidae; genus Homo; species Homo sapiens. The sequence continues at coordinate 4,073,420 of NT_167244.2, read as the reverse complement.
GTTGTCTCTGGAAATATCCCAGGCATTACTAGGGAACCAGAAGTAGAGACGAACAGATATGTTGCAAAGAGTGACATGTGTAGGTTAGCTCTGGGTGATGAAATCGTCAGTGGTCCAGCTGAGGTGATGCATGGATGAGATTGACTGGAAGAAGAAACCTGTAGAAACAGATCAGGAAACAAAGCTCCGTTGTACACACGTCCATAGCAGGCAGCCTGGGTTTTCGTCCCAGTCTTCTTCTGTTTTCAAGGGCCATTTCCATACTGCATGAGAAGCCATGAGACTGGTGGGCTCTGGACTCCTGTGCCAGAGATCACTCACCTTCCCCATTTCCCCCAAGTGTCCCAAATGCCTTGTATCATCTGATTTTCTATCTTCCTGCTAAAGCTTTTCCCATACTCCTAGTCCTTCACCCTGCGGTATCCTCCAAGTCCTTACCTGACTTCCACTATGGAGTCTCCCCATGGTTACTTGCTTGAAGGAGGCACTGTTTGAGCACAGCCTCTGAATGCTACAGACTCTCTCTTCAGACTTTCTAAATTGTCATTTTAAAGAGATAACTGTTTAAAGAGAAAAGGCCTACCTTATATGTGTCATGAAAAATTCATGTAACCGGTTACCTAAAAGTTGATATAAGAGAAATATGTAAGTAGCTTCACAAGGTTTTGAAAAATTTGGAGATAATTACTTGATAAATTTTTATTAAAGGAAAATGATATTCTGGGGCCGTATTTCTAATTATGTTACCACCGGCATTAAGGAGGCCACAGAACCTTTCTGACTCTACAGTGTTTCTTGATTCTGGAAGTAATTGCAGGACAGAGTCCTGGATAACCCTTCTGGTGACAGGATGACTCCTGTGTTTACATTCAACTGCACTGACCAGGCACAGATTCTAAGAGATGCTGACCAGGGAAGATGATTTCTCCCTTGATTCCACAAAGAAGGAGTCCACAACCTTTTTCTGCCCTGAAAGAAGAGACAATGTGCCCTGGGGAGAGTCTCCCTAGTGTAACCTTGACCCATAATAACAGCAGTGTCTTTATCCCATCTTCCCACATGGGGTGCGTGTGGTCTCATCCTAAGCGCTCTGTCCCCACAGAGGCCGGGTGGGTGATTTGGGCGAGGCATTCAGAATCAGGATGCTTGTCTGAGTTGCCTTCCTCTGGCCAGGCCAATAGTGGCTGCCCTGAGTAATGGAGCAGGGATAGGAACATTGCAAAGAACTGTAGAGAAGGCTGGATCAGGGGGACACAACTGGCAGAAGCCCCAAACCAAAGCCTTTTAGATTAGGTGTTTTTTTTTTTTGTTTTGTTTTGTTTTGAGACAGAGTTTTGCTCTTGTCCCCCAGGCTGGAGTGCAATGGAGTGCAGTGGTGCGAACTCAGCTCACTGCAACCTCTGCCTCCTGGGTTCAAGCGATTCGCCTGCCTCAGCCTACTGAGTAATTGAGATTACAGGCATGCACCACCACACTTGGCTAATTTTTTTTATTTTTGGTAGAGACGGGTTTCACCATGTTGGCCAGGCTGGTCTCAAATTCCTGACCTCAAGTGATCTGCCTGCCTTGGCCTCCCGAAGCGCTAGAAAATTACAGGGGTGAGCCACTGCACCTGGCCTCAGATGAGGTTTTAGCCAGTCAGAAAATGGCTCTAAGCTGACACTTTCGTTGCTAGTTGAAAAGTCTGTGTGGCCAGGTGTGGTGGCTCACACCTATAATCCCAGTGCTTTGGGAGGCCGAGGTGGGAGGATTGCTTGAGGCCAGGACATTGAAACCAACCTGGGCAACATAGCAAAATCCTATTTCTATAAAAAATTTTTAAAAAATTAGACAGAATGGCGGTGTGTGCCTGTACTCCCAGCTACTTGGGAGGCTCAGACAGGAGGATCACTTGAGCCTAAGAGGTTGAGGCTGCAGTGTGCCATGATCATGCCAGTGTACTCCAGCCTAGGTGATAGAGCCAGACCCTGTCCCTAAAAAAGAAAAGAAAAGAAAAAAGGAAAATAAAAAAAAAAGGAAAAGAAAAGAAAAAAGTCTGTTTGAAGAGGCCCATGAGACTGGGGAGTCCCTAGGTTTGACGTAGACTTTGCCTCACAGCCCCAGAATAAACCTGAGGGAAGCTTCTCCCTTTGAACAGGAAGAAGGGGTGGGCCAGAGGCCTCTATTCTGAGGGACGCTGAGGTGGGGACTGAGAGGACATTGAGGGCATCTTCAGGTCCCTCTCTGCCTATTCTTTCTTGCCCCCAGTTCCGTTCTAGGTCTGAGTTTGATGTTCCTCCTTTATGCTTCCATCGCACCAGTGGAGACCCTCCTTAGACTGGGGGTTACCCTGATCCTGAGTACACCACTGCTGCTAGAAGCCCAGTAACAACGTTCCCAGTCTCAGGTGATCTAAATCTATGCACAGAATAATACAGAATATTAGAGTGGCTCAATGCTTTCATGTGCCACTATTGCAAACCTCTTGCTACCGTCTCTTCCCTGTTTCTTTTTACCTGGTAAACATATTCTGCTTTTAGATGCTCTCTATCTTCTACTTTACTAATATACAGGGAAGAGTGGGAGGAAGGGAGACAAGAAGAGAGGTGGAGATATTTATTGTCTTGGTTAGGATTACCAGTAATGTTTGTCAGGCATTGTTTTAATTGCTTTATAACCATTAGTACTATCCCTAGCCATGGGCAACGTAAGCCTGATAAGTAAGAAATTTATTTATAAAAACACATTGGTACCTCTGCCATTTTGGATTTGATGTTTAGGGCTGGCCCAATATGACCTGTAACTCTAAACATTTGCTCCATCATTAATACGATTCAGCCCCCAGGAAATTCTTCTTCACAGCTTTTGCTCTCTATCTTCAAAACTAAATGTGACTGTGTCTGAATACTGTAAAATTTGTGTATTGTGCCTTTGCTCATATCAGATGCACCTGTTTCATGGTTCAGGGAGGATTTAAGCAGCTGAAGAACTTACAAGAGAAAAGTCAACAAATACTTTCACTCGAAGAGCATGAATGCAATACCTTCTTGCATAATAAAGAATCACTTGCCAGTAGGGCTGGGTGTCAACTTTTTTTTTTCTTGTTCCTCCTATTAGCCTGATAGTTACACATAACAGTGGAGGAGGCTTTTGTAATATTAAACTAGTCATATTAATGTTAAATTTTTATATGTGAAGATCTAGATGTAAAATGCATAAAACATGATCCACATTTTGCAAAGAGAAGCCTGGGGGTGAAAAGGAGTTCAGTAATTTGTTGACTCTCATAAAGCACATTAGTGGTAGAACTGCAACTCACCATCATTTCCTTCTAAGAACTTTGCTCTTCTCACCAAAACTTAAGGCTCTTCAGAGTGTCTAATAGAAGTGAACATTTCTGTGACAATTTTCTGTTCCCTGAAATATGATCCTCACTTAATTTGCCCTACTAAAAATCCCAAGTGTAAGAACAATAGGTTGTAAGATGTCTACTCTTGAATCACATTTGTCTTTTGCTTCTTAAAACCCCTAAGCCATTCAATCTTCAGCTATTCAGAAATCTTCACCTCAAATGTTCATCTAGTGCAATTTGAAGAAGAAACAGTGCCAGGCATTGGAGTGAGAATCTTCACAGAAAAACGTCTGCCCAGAGGCAGATGAGGTCCTTCAGCTCCAGTGCTGATTGGTTCCTTTCCTAGGGACTCCCCAATCCTACCACACATGGAAACATCCAGAGGTTTTTATTCTTTCCGGCAGGTACATAAGTTCCATTAGGTTTGAGCTGTGTTGACTACCACTGCTTTTTCCTTGGTCTCACTTACGTCTTGGAAGATGGCTCTGCAGATCCCTGGAGGCTTTTGGGCAGCAGCTGTGACCGTGATGCTGGTGATGCTGAGCACCCCAGTGGCTGAGGCCAGAGACTTTCCCAGTAAGTGCAGGGCAGCTGCTCTCGAGAGCCACCACTGTGGGAACAGGCTCTCCTTGGGTTGGAGTATGGGGGATGGTGATCTCCATGATCTCAGAACACAGTCTTTTATCACCATTTATTCTTTTTGGGAAATAGAGCTATGTTGCATTTTTATTTCCACCTTATAATGGGTGAGGTGAGGATAATCCAACCCCAATCCCACAGGTTTAAGCCTGAAGGAGGAGAGAGGAAAGAGGAGACAAAGTGTGCATTCACTACCTGTGACAGGACAAAATGACCATGGCACTCCACGGTTATGCATTTCCCCAAAGATATACATTTCCCCAAAGACACAGTAGGATTTTTCTGCACTGGGAAAATGTAAGGCAGCAATGGTGTCTGTAGTCTCTGTATTGGAGGTAAAGGAGTCTATACTACTGACTCGAGTGGAGAGTTTGTGGAGGCAAACTCTTAGTACTGAGGGAAGGTGACTGGATGACCACAGACAGGGAGTCTTACTTTGGGTTTCACTGATTTATGGGCAAAAGGTGACTTGAGTGGGATTCAGGGACCTGAGTTGATGGTGGACTGAATTTAGTATGATAGGAAGGAGGAAGTAAAGAAGGGAAATAATACATATTGAGAAACCACTCCATTCAGACACAGGACAGTACTTTCTATAAATCCTCTCTCACTCCTCCTAACATCCTATGTGTAGGTATCATGATTTTCCTTTTATGTAATTATACTTGTGATATGGATATTCTGTTAAGTAACCTGCCCAAGCTGGTGATTGACTCAGTTTAATTGGACCCTATAGAATTCAAAAGCTTGGGCTCTTTCCATGAATAAATGTTTCCTTCTAGGACTCCGGAGGTGTAGGTCCTTTCTAACACAGAAGTGAGTGAACCTCACAGGGCACTTGGGCGGGTATAGCAGAAAGAGAGTAAATCCAGGCATGGGTTTACTTGGTCTCTTGCCCAGGGACCAAGAGAATACTTACATCAGGATGAGAACAAGCTTAATTCCTGAACCTTTCTCGTTATTCCCTTGAACTCTCAAATTTATGTGGATAACTCTGTCTCCGAGATTCCCAAGAGCTCCATGGAAAATGGGATTTCATACGAGAACGCCCTGATCTAAGAGCAGAGGTCAATGTTGAATCGGTCCGACTGCCCTCTTCACTTGGTTCACAGGCTCAGGCAGGGACTGGGCTTTCCCTCTTACCTCCCTAAAGGAAGGCAGATTCCCGAGGCCCTCAGAGAGGGCGGGCAGGGCTGGGGCAGAGATGCCTCGAGGATCCCAGGTCCGGAGCACGAGGCACGGGCCCAGCCAAGAACTCAATTTCGCGTGGACGGGTTTCGCAGCTGCTGGCCGGGTCAGGGCAGCGGCTGAAGGGTGCGGTCCGGCTGGGGGCTGGGGCTAGGGCCGTGCTGGGGCCTGACTGACCCGCCGTGATTCTCCGCAGAGGATTTCTTGGTCCAGTTTAAGGGCATGTGCTACTTCACCAACGGGACAGAGCGCGTGCGCGGTGTGGCCAGATACATCTATAACCGCGAGGAGTACGGGCGCTTCGACAGCGACGTTGGGGAGTTCCAGGCGGTGACCGAGCTGGGGCGGAGCATCGAGGACTGGAACAACTATAAGGACTTCTTGGAGCAGGAGCGGGCCGCGGTGGACAAGGTGTGCAGACACAACTACGAGGCGGAGCTGCGCACGACCTTGCAGCGGCAAGGTGAGCGTCGTCGTCCTTCCGCGGGGCTCACCCTTGGCCGGGGCCCGAGTCTCTTGCGCACAGAGGGGCGAGGACGGCGCGGCCTCAAGGACCGAGCCCTGATCCATCCCAGGGTACAGGAAGGTGGCGGGGATTTGGAGGCTGGGGTAGTATCGGAGGGGCGGGGATCTAGGGCAGAGCAGGGGGATGCACAAAAGCATCCCTTAGTTCCCTGCAGGGTTGGGTTAGGCTGCCCAGTGTGTCCCCAGCCTCCCCGTCCATCGGCCTTGTCCTCTGCTCTGCATGTTCTTGCCTTGTGCCTTATGCGTTTGCCTCCTCGTGCCTTACCTTCGCTAAGCAGTTCTTTCTGCCCGAATGCCCGCCCTCTTCCCCTGCCCGTCCGCCCCACTAGCACTGCCCCACCCAGCAAGGCCCACTTGCACAGCTCGCGCCGCAGGAAGCTTCAGGCTTGGCCTGGTGGAGTTAGGGCTGCTCCACAACTGCGCGCAGGGCATCCAGCAATTACAGTTGTGAAATAAGATATTTTAACTTTTGGCTTCAAATTATTATTCATCGTAATTCTGTTTTCTTAAACGGCTCTCATTCATGGCGGAGCTCTTTGAGGTGAGAGTGTTTTAATCATTGCATGCCTAGTACCTGACTCGTGGACCGGCATGTGGTATGAGCTCAATGATCTTCTGTTAAATTAATGAATAAATGTACTCAGCTGCGCATCCACTTAGGCTCAAGGGAAAGCAGAGGATAAATAGAGCCTTAAAGATGGACTTTATCAATTATTTTCTATTATTTTGCTTAATGCTGTAAACTCTTATTGACTTGGATCTTAGTAAGGTTTGTGAATGCAGTCTGGGGAAAAAGGTGTTTGCTGAAAATAAAAACAACGCTTGAATGGTGTTATAAGGCAGTTTTAATTTCTTAGAAAAGCTGAACAAATGGCACAATGAAAAGAGCAGAAGCTTTGGAATACATAGATTGAAGCCACTAAATTATTGAATAAAAATAGTTTCAGGTTGCTTTTGGAGTAGATTTTCTCCCTCCCCCCATCACTATCCACTTCAGGCATAAACATTCTGAACGTCAATTTTACCCACTTAGTGAGCACTTATTTCTAGACAATTGCCTTAGCAAACACCATCTAAGTTATGTCATTTAATAGCACAGTTACCTGTGCATTAGAGATTAGCATTGCCACTTTATATATCGTAATATTGGTACATGATAAACACTTTAAGTAATCAACCCACAGTTATGCACCAGGACCTGAAGCCTCCCCCAAATACACAGCATTCTTTTATGTTCTTCAATACTCGTCTACACAGCCTAAGGGAAGTAAAGCCTTGTTAAAGCCAATTTTGACAAGAAGCAGCAATGGGTCTATTCCTGCCTGTTTTCACTGTTAATGGGACAAAATGATACTTTCAAGGCATTGAAAATTCACTGATTAATCAATCCCTAGTCTGACCCCAGTGTTATCTATGCAGGTTCACAAAACTTCCTTGCCTTCTTCTGACCCACATCCTAATGCTGTCAATTATTTATATTTTTGCCATTTCAAGTCTATTTCTATAAAAGTTATTCTATCATTTTTTTCTCATGAATTTGTGCCCTCTATTTTTACTTTCAGTCTTTTTAAGATGAACAAATCTTGTAAGTCCCCACATAGCTGACTGTTATTTCAGTCAGACTCCAGGAAGGAGGGCCTAAAGAAAAGTTCAAGTCCAAGCAGAAACCAAGATTCCTTCCAGACAATGGCTCATGAGTGCCATTTAATTGGGGTGCTACCTGCTGACCTCAGCAAATCCCAGCTATATGTATATGTTTGCATTACAGGCACATTCACCCAGGCCAACCTCTGCATGGATCTCAGAATATTTCCTATGGAGAACGTACATGATAATGTCTGATTTCAGAACAAGAAAGTAATTCTCAATAGCAAGGGGATGGAGTAGGGTAGGCAGCTAGTAATTACACTATCTTGAGGGTTAAAAGGAAATTAAGAAAAAGCAGGAAAATGAGAGAACATATTACCAAGTAAATAAAGCATACATTAAATATTTACTATAATTTTACACTAAAGAAATAAAGGAAATGCAGTAAAATGGCCAGAGAGGTAAAGGTTAAGATGTATAAAATATGCAGGGAAAGGTGTGTCATTTTTGACCATGAGCAGCGCTCTGAGAAGATAAAGGAATTGAGTTATGGGCAAACATGATGTTTGATCAGTGTTAGTTTTTTTCAAGGCCTGCCTACTTTTCCTTCAAATATTACAAACTTTTGAAATAACATTCAATTTTTTGGTCTCTGTTACTAGATTGCAAGTTCTATAAAGGCAGGAACCAGGGTTTGTTGTTTATTTTTGGATTCTCAGTGATTGTCAAATTTATATTTGTTGAAGGAACCTTAATCCAAGACTTGGACTCCAGGTATCTTTCTATTCTGGTTCCAAGGAGGGACCTTCCTCACAGCAGGCGTGCTGTGTGGTCTCACATCTCACTCCTATATCTTTCCCTGTCTGTTACTGCCCTCAGTGGAGCCCACAGTGACCATCTCCCCATCCAGGACAGAGGCCCTCAACCACCACAACCTGCTGGTCTGCTCAGTGACAGATTTCTATCCAGCCCAGATCAAAGTCCGGTGGTTTCGGAATGACCAGGAGGAGACAGCCGGTGTTGTGTCCACCTCCCTCATTAGGAATGGTGACTGGACCTTCCAGATTCTGGTGATGCTGGAAATAACTCCCCAGCGTGGAGACATCTACACCTGCCAAGTGGAGCACCCCAGCCTCCAGAGCCCCATCACCGTGGAGTGGCGTAAGGGGAAACTGGTTTCCTTTTACTGTGGGCCCCACAAGACAAAGGGCAGAGCTCCCGCTGATCCTTCCCATCCCATCTCTTGTCCCTGACATCACTACTGAGCTGGGAATCACAGGAGACTAGAGCACCTGTTGCCCCATGGCAAGCACATCAGATGAATCCTGATCTCTTTGTCTTTCCAGATACCAGGGAGATCACTTTCCACATTTGTGTTAGTCCATTCTTGTACTGCTACAAAGAAATCTCTGAGACTGAGTAATTTATAAAGAAAAGAGGTTTAATTGGCTCTTCTCACTCCACTATAAAGAAATACCTGAGAATGGGTAATTTATAAAGAGAAGAGGTTTAACTGGCTTATGATTCTGAGGCTGCAGGGGAAGCATAGTGGCTTCTGCTTATGGGGAGACATATGGAAGCTCCTAATCATGGCAGAAGGAAAAGAGGGAGTGAGGTGTCTCACAGGGCAGGGGCAGGAGCATGAGAGAGAGGGGGTTGGTGCTACGCAGTTTTACATAACCAGATCTCATGAGAACTCACTATTGTAATGACAGTACTAAGGGAGATGGTGACAAGAATCTGGTCTAATGATCCAGTCACCTCCCACCAGGCTCTACCTCCAACATTGTTAATTACAATTGAACATGAAATTTGGGTGGGGCCACAGAATCAAACCATATCAACACTACTAAAGCCCCAGAACCAGCTCTGACAGCTATGAGAGACTGACTTAGGGCTGGTGACTGGGGCCTTAGGGTTTAAGGTTATGGATGAAGTCCTGAGGGGCAGGGGTGCGCTTCTTCCTCTCCCTCACCCACCTATTGTGTCCAAAGACCTACTGGCTGGTCTTTCTCTTCCCTAGGGTGGTCAGACTGGAGAACTAGTGTCCCCTGACATCTCCACCTCCTGTACCAAGGACATTATGGGGTGTGGGGACAAACACTCACACTCAGTTCTGCTCCTTAGGGGCTCAGTCTGAATCTGCCCAGAGCAAGATGCTGAGTGGCATTGGAGGCTTCGTGCTGGGGCTGATCTTCCTCGGGCTGGGCCTTATCATCCGTCACAGGGGTCAGAAAGGTGAGGAACCCAAGGGGGAAATGGGGAAGATGAGCTGTGACCCAGACCCTCTATTCAGAGAGGTTCTGTCTCTAGATGTAGCTCTTTCCTCCTTACCCTGAGAGGAAGTGCGAGGAGACAGGACAAGATTGGAGGAGGCATTGGAATCTGATTTTACTGGGTGAATGGTAGCGCTGCCAGAGCTGACTGATAGAGCTTATTCCAGGGCGTCCTTACCGTTCATCATCGTCTCACTGGCTCCTTTCTAAAAGCTTCCTCCATTATGAGGGTCAGAGCCTTGGCCTCCTTGTCTTCTAGTGACAATTTCCTTTGTTTTGGGGGATTTTAACTTAGGGTGCTTAAGGACTTAAAGAACATGGGAGGGAAGAGGATATAACCCCAATTAAACTACATGTGTCATTTTCCTTTGGGGTAAGATAGTGGTTGTTTGTTTAACAAGACCTTTCTCTGTATAACTTCCTTTTGTAGGACCTCGAGGGCCTCCACCAGCAGGTAATATTTCAGCCATGATCCAGTCAGGGGAGAGGGCACAGGCATAAGAGGGAAGAGCCATGGTGAAACCGCATCTCTACTAAAAATACAAAAATTAGCTGGACGTGGTGGTGTGCATCTGTAATCCCGGCTACTTGGGAGGTTGAGGCAAGAGAATCACTTGAACCCAGGAGGCAGAGGTTGCAGTGAGCCAAGATGGCGCCACTGCACTCCAGTCTGGGCGATAGAGCTAGAGTCTGTCTCAAAAAAAAAAAAAGAAGAGCATGAGCGGAGTGTTCCAGGGCACAGTGGTCTCTGTTCATGGCCTGTTTGCTGCTATGAGGGTTAAGACTTAGGGGAAAAGTTTGCCAGTTTCTACGAATCTCCAGAGATTGTTTCCTAGAACCAGGCCTTAACTTTGGTGGCATCTTTTTGTGAAATGTGGGGACAGAGCCACATCTTGAATGTGAGATAGTAGGGTGATGCCCACTTTGTGCCACATTTTGTTAGCTACTGCCTGTAGGCATTTTCAGTGACTAAAAGAGGCTGCTAGTGGTGGAGATGAAGTGTCACCCAATTTACTAAAAAAATCAAACTCTTCATATTACCCAGAAGGGTAACTGCTGTTCCCCCACCTCCACATATCTGCATCAAGCTGAAGTTCTGTGTCCTCATGAGCTGATTTTACCTTTACACAGATATTGGGGAACGTGATGATGATATGCCCTGGACCTCAGCATCCTCTGTTTGATGCTACAGAGGGAACTGAGGACTAGGGGAGAGGGTGTGTCCCTCAGGGTACCCTGTGCTGATCATGCCTCGTCTCTCTTCTCCAGGACTCCTGCACTGACTCCTGAGGACTTTTGTCTGGGATTGGTCATCACTCTTCTGTAATGCCCACCTGCCCCTGCCCAGAATTCCTAGCTGCCTGTGTCACCCTGTCCCACTGAGGTCAGAGTCCTACAGTGGCTCATGCAGCCACAGGTCACCTTCTGTGATCCCCATCCCAAGGCACTGGTGGTGACTCTGCTTCCTGCACTGACCCAGAGCCTCTGCCTGTGCACTGCAAGCTGTGTCTACTCAGGCCCCAAGGGGCATCTCTGTTTCCATTCTCCCCCCACAGACCTGTCAAGAGAAGCATGACAAACAAAATCATTTACCTGACTTTAGTGCTTTTTCCCATAATTAAACCTGATTCTGAGTTATCTGTATTCGGAACTTCCTTAACTAAGCAGAGGTAGGAAACCACTGCCAAGTGAAGGAACATACCTTGAGGTGACCCAGCCAAACCGTGGCTAGAAAGAGGGTTGTACTTTGAAAAGACACTGAAAGCATCTTGGGGTGCAAAGTAAGGGTAGGCAGAGGAGGTAGAAAATCAATTCAGTCATCACATCATTCATGGTTCTTTAATATTGATGTTCAGTGCAATGGCCTTAGGACATCCCAGCCTCTCTTCTGGTTTGGCGAGTGTTGTCTAAGTAAGCATGGTGGAATTGTTTGGGGACAACTATAGTGACTGATGTTTCAAATATATTCTGGCTGGCAAGTCACATCAATCAAGACTAATTTTTATTTTTAAGAAAGCATAACCAGCAATGAAAGTACTATTTTTGGTTCCAAATGATAGACACCCAACCCAAAGATATTTGATTCATGTTACAAGGAATGTTGGTTTCAGAAGTGACTAGTTCCAGATATTCAATGAGATCTTCATCTCTCTTCTCTTTCTGTTATAGTTTCATCTGTGCATCCTCCTCTCCTCTCCGTGTGTCTCTTTGTCCCTGTGTAGTTCTTTCTGTGTGTCTCTCTCCAGTTTTGTCTTTGTTCCCTTCTTGTGTCTCTTTCAGTGCATTGTTGCCTTTCTCTATGTTTGTAATCCTTTGTCACTATTTATCTGCATTTCTTTCTCTTTTTCTTTTTGCATCTCTTTATTTTCTGCATCTCTCTTATCACCTCACACCTTATCTCATCTCTCTCTTCGTGTGAGTGTGTGTACGTGCGTGTGTGTGTGTCTGTCTTTGTTGTATATGTTTCTGAAGTGTCTACCAGAGTTTTAATAATTTGGGGAAAGATTCTGATTGTCCAAGCCTGGGTAACATGCACACCTCCCAAACACACCATCCTGTGCACAGGATGCTGCCAGCCAGCGTGCTCATCCCTCTTATTAGGAAGGAGGACTGGGTTTTCCAGATCCTTCTGATGCTGGAAATGACTTCCAGTGTGCAGATGTCTACACCAGCCATGTGGAGCACCTCAGCCTCCAGAGCCTCCTCACAGTAGAGTGGTGTAGGGGAAGTTTGTTTCTTGTGGAGGACACAGGTCAAATGGCAGAGCTTCCTCTGGTTCTAGGGTCCCTCAGTGGGGGTACCTGTTCACAGCCATCTCATTCCTTGTCTGAGCTCCCTTTGTCATTGACATCGTAACCTGTTCATTCCTGATGACACCCTCTTCCCGATTATGAGGGATGTTACTACACACTGTGACCCCTTTGATGTGGGCTCAGCCCTGAAGATGGTCTACATGTCAGTCTCTGGGTTTGTCATTAAGTCAGACAAGCTTTTCCAACCCTCAGCCCGCGGGCTGCATGCAGCCTATGACCGTATTTAATGCAGTCCAACACAGATTCTAGAACATTCAGTTCAACATTGTCACACTGAACACATCCTGGTTATGAGAGGATCAAAGTCTTTTTCCCTTTCTTCCACTGACAGTTTCATAGAAACAATTATTTTTTGCACCCAGATTTCATTGGGTAGTATAATCTTTAATTGATAATTAAAGTAACAAGTACATTTTTTATAAATAAGTTTGCTAACAAGAAGAATTGAGTCTTAGTAGGCATATAACTTGGAGGAAAGTATGTGGGTGTTCTAGAGAACAACCTGCCAGTTGTGAGCATTTGTCCTTACCTTAGGAAATATCAGCATATCTTTCAGAGACAATGGTGCTCGTCAATATGCCATAAGGTTCTTTACATCTCCCAGTCTTTTCTGCTGTTAGGTTGGGATCATTTGACTAATACTAGCCAATGGAACTTGCAAGTAGATGCACGATGAGACGATGGAAACTCCATATAACCTGAGTCACTGGAGAAACTGTGGAATTAAGTCTCTTTATTGAGTGACATCACTGAGATTTGTTTTTTACTGTGGGCTAAGATCTTACTGCACATTAACTTTACCCTTCTCAATAATCATGGAATGTTTAACTTCAGAGGAGAGTTCATAAGTTAATAGGGTGAATCAATTGAGTTAATAGAAATTGAGATGATTGAGATGATATTTTTAAACAAAAAAGTTTTTGAAAATAAAGAACAGAAAACTTTATTTGAACAAGAAAAAGTTAAGAATGTTACATTTCAAAAAATTTAAATTATTTTTAATTTACAAATAATTGAGTACTTATAAGGTACAATTGACATTTCGATATATGTATACACTATGAAATGATTAAATCAAGCTAATTAACATATCCATCACTTCACATACTTATTTTTTTATGTGGTGTGAATATTTAAAATCTGTCTTAGCAATTTTCAAATATACAATACAGCTGGCCCTGTATTTGTGGGTTTTGCATCCTCTGATTCAGTCAACCATGGATTGAAAATATTTGGAAAAAATGATAAAATACAACAATACAACATAAAAATAATACAACTTAAAAGACAATACAGTATAACAACTATTTACATAGCATTTACATTGCGTTAAGTATTATAAGTAATCCAAAGATGATTTAAAGTATATGGGAAAACATACTTAGGTGATGTACAAAAACTAAGCCATTTTTAATAAGAGACTTGAGCATTCTTATATTTTGGTATCCAGGAAGGGTCCTAGAACCAATCCCTCATGGATGCCAAGGGACAACTGTATGATATTGTTAACTAGTCACCATGCTGCACAATTGATCTTCAGTACTTATTCCTCCTCTCTAACTGAAACTTATACCTTTTGACCAACATCTCATTCCTTTTTCTCCCTCTCCCCACACCCCACCCCCTCCATGACTTTGACTTTTTAAGATTCTGCATATAAGTTAGGTCATGTCGTATTTGTCTTTCTGTGCCTGGCTTATTTCACTTAGCATACTGTCCAATGGGTTCGTCCATGCTATAAATGACAAGATTTCCTTCTTTTATACGGCTGAATAGTATTCCATTGTGTATATGCACCACATTTTTTTTATCCATTCATCTGCTGATGGATAGTTAGGTTGATTCCATCTCTTGGCCATTGTGAATAGTGCTGCAATAAACACGGGAGTGCAGATATCTCTTTGATACAGATTTCATTTTCTTTGCATATGTACCCAGAAGTGGAACTGCTGGATCATGTGGTAGTTTTATTTTTAATTTTTAAATAGATGCTGAATTTTATCTGTTTGTTTTCTTCCACATGAATGTATATGTACTCCCAGGAACTAGAACAGTGTTTCTGCCGTCAGTGCTGTTCCACTGTACCTAAACTCCTCCCTTTGAGACTGAACGATTTATTCTGTCATTGCTGGGAATGTTGCTGGCTGACTGCCCTCAGCTTTCAGTCACGCCCCGGAATTGCCTTAGGTGATGAAAGCTGCCTCATCGGATTTTGATCCACTTCCCAGGAGGAACTCGCCTATAATGATTGGTCAGTATAGGAGTATAAAACCTGCTCTAATTTGGGCCGACTCTGAGGGGCTCTTGCAGCTTCTGAATAGCTTAGGCCGAAGAATAACAGTCCATTTTTTTTGTAACTGAAATAATAGTCCAATTTCTAAAACCTTGCTCTAATTCATGAGTCATTTTACATACTTTTTCCAGTTGTGATTGTAATTTAAATATATTGATCTTTGTGACTTCTGTAAGTATGGGCAATGCCTCTTCCCCTCCTTCTTGGAAGATGAAGTTATTGGCATTTTCACCCTCCCTTTCCCCTCTCCTTTACACTTCCAGTTGCCAAAATGAAGTATCTACATCTTTTTTTTCCCCCCAATATTGTCAAAGCTGAAAATATTGACATTCTGCTGTAGCAATAAGATTCCTTGGGCTTTGCTCACAGATTAATTCTAAATTTGAAAAAAAAAGTTTATCACTTTCTAAATATCACTTATGTAGTCAGGTATTCTTTGCTTGCCAAGAAACTGCTGTAGTAGGATCCGTTTTCAGTGAGATCCTGGGTTAAACCCAGTTTCCTGGATTCCTTACCTTCCTATATCCTGATTAACAATCTCAATTGGTCATATCCTTAGTCAATTTCTAGTAAAACTCTGCGTGGTAGGTAAATTTTATGTTCTTTCACATTCACAGGTATTTTTATTCTTTCTCCATGCCTGATTGTGACTTTGAAAAGATCTACATTTATTAATAAAAAATAATTTTCCTTTAGAACTTCAAGGACTTTCTCATTATCTTAATAATAGAAGTATTTTTTTTGTTGTCAGTTTGTTTCATTTTGGTTTCCGCCACTGGAATATTTTATGACTTTTCTATAACACCTGAAGTTCTGAAATTTTGAAAATGAGATATTTAGAAGTGAGTCTGTTAATTTTGCTAAATACCTGACAAGACTATTCCATGGAAGAATTAAATCCTTTATATCTGGAACATTTTCCCTTATTATTTGTTCTGATCATTTTCTCCCTTCATCTTCCCTGTTGGTCTCTCTAGCTTTGTCACTTGATGTTTGACTTCCTTGGTCTGTTCTCCATCTTATTTTTTCTACCATATATTACATTTTTTTTTTGCCTTTTAAATTACTGTGAGATTTTCTTGATTTAATTTTCCAATCTTTCTATTAAATTTTCCAATTGTTTTTAGCATTCTATTATTACTTTTACAGATCAAGAATTCTAATTAGAATGACTTTAAACTTGTTTGCTGTTACATGAACTTTCTCTATTAAATCTGTGATAATTTTCATGTTATTTTATTCTCATCTTCTCTTTCATATTGTAAGAGTTTCTCAAACATTTGCTCTGGCCTCTTCAACCTTGTCCTTTACCTACTGTATACCACCTTATTTCATCTCAAGATACATTTCTTCAAGCCACTTCTAAACTGCCCCAAATCATACCTGGTCCCTGTGCAACACTCTCTCATTTTACCTCATTCTTTTTCTTTATAAATGTTTCAGACCTTGTAACTATGTTTGTGGAATTATGTAATATATGTATTTTCCTCCCACTGGAGTGTAAGTTCTATGAAGATAATGAATGTAATTGTTTTCACATTATTTTAATAACATTCAACAAACTATGAGTACTTATTGTAGCACTGGTACTCAATGACCATTTTTGCATTTTTGATGAATTAGTGAATATATAAACAAGTCTGGGGGCTTAGTCCAGCCAATAATAAAGCAAGCATTACTTTGCTTTCCTTTGTTATTATTAGTTCCTGCATACACATTCTTTATAGTTGCATTCCTGAGAGGTTCTTACAGTCTTGGGCAGGCCTTGGACAGGGTTTCCTAAATGTGATAAAAATGAGAAAAACTGAAAAACTAACATAACTTCAAACAGAATGCTTGTCTGCCTATGTTTATGGGACTTTCCTGAATACATTTAAAAAAAAAACCTTTGTATTACAGAAAATTTCAACTGTGTGCAATAGTACAGAGAAGAATTCCATGTATCAACAGCCTTGCTTTAACAATAATCAATTCATGAGCAATTTTGTAAACCCACCCAGTTATCATACAGGCACATACTGGATTATTTTGAAGATATTTTTAGGTATCATATTTCATTTATACATTTTTATTATGAAAATCTAAAATATAATGGCTTTTTAGAAACATAACAGCAATGCCACTAACACATTTAAAACGAGATAAATAATTCCTTAATACACTCAGTGTCAATTTTTCTGATTGCCTCATATAAATTTTTTAACAGATGTTTTGTTTGAATATGAATCTAGACAAAGCTCAGCGTTTGGTTACTATATTTCTTCAGTCTTTTTCAAGTGTATAGCTTTTCTTTTCTCTATTTTTAACTTTTTTTGCAAATTGTTTGCTGGAGAAATCTTTTTATTTAATCTAGTAGAACTTCTCATATTCTGAATTTTGTTGCTTACATCCTTGTGGTGTCATTCATCATGGGATTTTGTCTTGGACTCCAGAAAATAACAATAACACAAATTTGTTAACTTCTATAAACTGCTTACTATGGGCCAGACTGTGTGTGAAGTGCTTTATTTGTAATGTTTAATTCTTCATATCTCTAGTTTGTATGTGGTAAGTACAAACCTGAAATATTTTACGTGATTTTTACGTTTTGTAATTTTTATTTATTTATTCATTTATTTATTTATTTTTAGAGACGGGGTCTCGCTGTGTTGCCCAGGCTGGAGCGAGTGCAGTGGTGCAGTCAGTCCTAGCTCACTGCAGCCTCGAACTCCTGGGCTCAAGCAGCAATCCTCCTGCCTCAGCCTCCCTACTAGCTGGGACTACAGACTGGTCTCCATCTCCTGGGCTTTAAGGGACCCTCACCTTGTGCTGAGATTACAGGCATGAACCATTGTGACTGGAAATTTTGTAAAATTTAAACAATGTGATATTACCTATTAATGAAGTCATACTTTATGTATGTAATCTGAAATAATTCAGATAACAATTTTTAAGAATCATTTAATTTAAAATCATGCAGCCTGATTTATAACTGTTTATAATAATAATATAATAATATAATAATGATGATTTCACTTTGAACTTTTAGCTGATAAAAAGATATATTTGCTCTATTTTATAAAACTAATTTTAGCTATGCTATTTTAACATTATATAAATACTTTTTGAATACATTCTTTCAGTAAAATCCAACTACCATTATATTTGCTTTCCTCAGTATTTCTTGGGGAAGGATTCTAAATAGGGGAGCATTTGTGTATTTCTGTATGACTCTGGTTATAATGCCATTCAATGTAAGCCTTACACACACACACACACACACACACACACACACACACACACAAATGCACACACCTCCAGAATGCTGGGTTCTTGGCTCATGAATCATTGAAATTTATATAAAATTTATTTTAAATCCTATTGCAGAAAAGTTCTTAGCACATTCATGCATTTTCATGTGACCATTTTTATACTACAGTTTTAATTTTATATATTTGGGATCATTATTGTTGACCTTTTCTTTTCTTTTTTTTTAATAGAGTTTATTTTAGAGAAGTTTTAGGTTCCCAGAAAAATTGTAGAGTACAGATAGATGTATCCCATATGCTCTCTGTTCCCACACATGCATAGCCTCCCCCACTAGTAACATCCTTCATGACAGAGGTACATTTGCTACAACTTATGAACTTACACTGACACATCATTATCACCCAAAGTCCATAGTTTATATTAAGGTTCATTCTTGGTGTTGTACATTCTATGGATTTGGGCAAGCGCATAATGATATTTATTCACCATTGTGGTATCAAATAGAGTAGTTTCATTGCCCTAAAAATCCTCTGTGTTCTGTGATGGACGTTTTCATGATCACCACTGGTTCAGATTCCCTGCACTTACTAATTCCCAGTCTGCATTTATAATTATTTTCTCCCGGAGTCTCCCCACCTCCTCCCCAAAGTAAATATGGATAAACTGCTGTTGCATATAATTCACCTTGACTTAAAATTTATGGGACATAAGGAGGGAATATACCCCTTAGAGAGTTAAAAACCGAAGTCAAATATTACAACTTCTTGTCCTAAGAGTTCTCTTAGCAACCCAATCTCAGCCTCTCAAGAAAGAAAAAAATCCTCCAGTTAACATATGAAAAGAAACTCACTTTTACGTCTACGCTTGAATCTCCTAAATCACTAAAGGGCTAAGGAAAACAAATGTACTTTTCATATAATATGATCCATTCTTTTTAATAAATCCATTATAAACATAACTGCAGTGTTTTCTTATATATTTATATACTACGTGTAAGGCACTGTCTATATACCAAGATTATTCAAATTCTGTCAATAACTCTGCAAGGAAAATATTATCACTCCCACATTGTGGATGAGAAAAATAAGGTTCAGAAATGTCAATCAGATACTTTACCCAG
This sequence comes from Homo sapiens, assembly GCF_000001405.40. NCBI lineage: Eukaryota > Metazoa > Chordata > Mammalia > Primates > Hominidae > Homo > Homo sapiens. The sequence continues at coordinate 4,054,399 of NT_167244.2, read as the reverse complement.
TAAAGTTTAAAATATTAGCTTCAAAATACTGAGTCAAGTATTTGGATTTAGGTTTCTTTGTACAAAACTATGCTGTATCAATTATTATGTTAACGTTTTGTCTCTTTTTTTTCTCCTATTACATTTTAAACTCACTGATGCAGATAGCATGGACAGAAATATCCTGGCAGATTTCATAGCTGTTTAGAGCTCTCAGGTCCCTGTGGACCCATTTCCTCTGAGAGATTTTCTATTAGGAGACCACGAATCCAGTGTAGGACACAGCACCCACTACTGCTGCTACATTGTCTCAACTGTCTTGTTCTTCCTAGGATTTCTCTCTCATAGGCTCATGCTTTCCTTAGCCAGGAAGGGGGAGGAGCAGGGGGCTGGGGCCCCTAAATGGGTCTGTAGCTTCTACTTCTATCTGTTTTCCATTGTCACTAACCCTAAGTAAGGAACAAGCATTTGTTCCTTTTCAGATACCCCCTTATATTATTGCCTTATTTTAATATTTTTCTTTTTTAAAAAATTTATTTATATGTATTTATTTATTTTTGAGATGGAGTTTCATTCTGTTGCCCAGGCTGGAGTGCAGTGGCACAATCTTATTGCAACCTCCACCTCCCAGGTTCAAGCGATTCTCCTGCTTCAGCCTCCTGAGTAGCTGGGATTACAGGTGCCCAGCACCATGCCCAGCTAATTTTTGTATTTTTAGTAGAGACAGGGTGTAACCACGTTGGCCAGGCTGGTCTCGAAGTCCTGACCACAAGTGATCTGCCCACTTTGGCCTCCCAAAGTGTTGGGATTATAGGTGTGAGCCACCGTGCCTGGCCTTATTTCAATGTTTTTCTAACTGGCTTCCATTTCTTTTCCTGCCTAGAGAATTTTTATCTCCTCAAGGTGAGAAGGGGAGAGGAAAGCTTCTACTGTTGTCATTCTTCACAAATTTAAAGTTTTGAGAATGCAGTTTGACTTTTGGTAACAAAATTTTTTACTTTTGATAACTTTTGAGATTCAAAATTCTTGTATCCTATTTCTCTGTCATTCCTTTTAAGAGCCATATTGAAATTAGTACAGACTTTTTTTTTTTTTTTTGTATTTCTGCTATAACCATTCTGAGCCAAGGGCAGAGGGTTCGTTGGTACCTGAATTGAGGGGTGGCTGGCAGTGGCCAAGGGTAGGAACAAAAGGAAGAAAGAAATATTAACACCAGTTAAGAAATCAACAAATTATCAGGATACACTGTACTTGGTTGCTCCTGTGTTACTGGACTTGAAATATGATCTGGGGAATGATATGAAATTGGCCTAAAACATAAGAGTCGCCCATTCTAAGTTATGCTCTCAGTCAGCCCTGAGATGAAAGATGGGAAAAATTCAATAGAGGCATCAAAAGGGAATTTATTGCTTCCATGGAGATTTTAGATAAAGGTCATTGAGGAATTAGGTAGCTGAGTGGCTTACCCAGGCATCCCTTAGTAGGTAACATTTGAGAAAATAAAAAAATTCAGGAAAGGAGGTCAGGGAAAGAATTGAAAGGCATTTGTGAGCTCTGAGGGAATATAGCACCTTAAGTCCCAGAGAAGAGGTGAGAGAAGAAACATTTGGAGGAGAAAAGGGATATGATAAATCAGGCCAGAGAATAGTGCTAGGTCATTTAGCAAGTCCATTCTTCTTCTCCTGTAGATGGTGATGCACCTGCAACAGGACAGACATGAGATCGATGGGTCTGAGGGGCCTCCTGTGTGATCATCATGCCACTTCCCAATTCGCCTACAACTTTCAACCACATTCATGTCCACAACCCCCTCCCACTTTCCTCCCTCTCATACTGAGGTTTCAGCTCCAACAAATCTCAATCTTACCTTCCTTTTCAGGATGGGATTCATAAGAGCCCTTGGTGTCTGGAAGCACCAACTGAACGCAGGCCTTGGATGATGAAGACAGTGCCCACCACAATGCCCATGAGGCCCACAGACAACCCCAGGGCGCAGACCAAAGTCTCTGTGAGCTCTGACATAGGGGCTGGAATCTCAGGCTCTGTGAAAGTGGAGCTGTTGAGGTCAGAATGTGCAGTGTGCTCATGTGCATGTGTGTGGGATGGGATGGGGTGGAGGGCTGGCTCTGCAAGACTCAAGGCCCCAGGCTTAGGGAGAAGAGTGAAGTCTATTATTAGAAACCCATGAAGTAGTGGAACTCATCCTTACCCCAGTGTTTCAGAAGAGGCTCGTCCAGGCCCCAGTGCTCCACCTTGCAGTCATAAATCTCATCAGCAGAAGGGAGGAAGGTGAGGTAACTGATCTTGAAGAAGGAATGATCACTCTTGGAGAGGAAGCTGGTCTCAGAAACACCTTCTGTGACTGAGTGCCCATTGCTCAGCCAGGTGATGTTGACCACAGGAGGAAAGATGTTGTCCACAAGACAGATGAGGGTGTTGGGCTGACCCAGCGTCACAGGAAACTTGGAAAACACTGTGACCTCAGGAACCTCTGTGGTGAGGAAACAGCACTGATGTGAAGTGTGAATAGCTCTGCCATGAGCTTCTGCATTACATCCTGGAAGAGCCCTCCTACCAGCATTTCACCACCTGATAGTCAAAGAGGTCTTATTTACCTTCTGCTTGGGAGCAACGACACATTGCCTCTGCTTTATTCCTGTGCCCTTCTCTCTGTGGGCATGTTTAATAAAGTAGGAATTAATACATAATGGAAAGACCCTTGTATTACATGGGAATATGTGATTTTAGAGATGGGAGATGATAAAATTTCAGCAATTACCATGAGAAGATCTGGAAATCTCTTGAGAAGAAGGGAGTAAAACTTGGTATGAAAGATTAGTTTCAGTAAAGAGAGGCGGAATGGTGGACACATACCATTGGTGGCAGCGGTAGAGTTGGACTGTCTCATCATGAATTCCAAGGTGTGTTTTCCCACAGCCATATTTCTCAGTGCACTCTGCGGGTCAAAACTTATAAATTTGCTAAACATAGGCAACTGCCAGACAGTCTCTTTCGTCTCCAGGTCCACATAGAACTCCTCGTCTCCATCAAATTCATGGGTGTACTGGCCAGAGGGACCGTGAGACTGGTAGAAGTTCACACCATAGGAGGCAACATGGTCAGCTGACGAGTGAAGGTGACAAGCAGGAGGGTGGAACACAGGGAGAAAGAACCTTAATACAGAAAGTGATTGAAGAAACTCACTTTCAAATATTATGGGCTTCATCTTTGGCACAGTCCCTGAACAATCTTCCTAACACCTGCTTCCTCCTTGCCTAACGTTGGTAGTCATCAGGTTAGAACTGATTCTGTCTTTCTCACTATAACATATGCTCCACAAAGGCAGAACGTCACACGTCTGTTATTTCCTGAGTGCCTACTTAGTGCCTGGCACATCATAAGCTTATGATGAATATTGCAATAAACAAAGGAAGGAATGAATGAGTTATCATAGGATTTAGTTTTCTTACTCAGAGATTCAGTTTATTTCCCTCTGCTTCCTAAGTTTTCTCTCTCAGTTAATAACAAGTTGATTATACTTCGTTTCCTGTCAGGACTAGATCAGAACAGGACACTTTCTACACAGAGTTTCCTTTTTTTTTTTTTTTTAAACCAAAGAAAAGCATGTAGGAACGTATTAACTTAAAATAATTTCTTCTAACAATTATAGGGTACAAGAAAGACTATTACAAGAATAGCAACATTATACATTTATAACAAATAAACAATTCTTCTAAGGTCTCTGTTTTGTTAATAGTAGTGGTCCTTAGAGGAGAGCACCTGATTTCTTCTGAAATGAAAAGTGGAAGCTCAACTGGTTTTTTAATTTCTGTCATTGCCCCCACTTTTTTTTTTCCTCTGAAGGAGGTTACTAAATATCTATAGTGTTCTGATTCAACAATTACATTCACTCGAGGACTCAGGTAAATTAAACCCTTTTTCCTCTAATGGGCAGCGAGCTTATCCGAGGATGCCAGGGCAGAGCAGCAGCCATGAAGTATAGCCAAATGAGCCGAACTGGACATTTTTGTTAAGACATGTGTGAGCCCTGTACCATTTTATCTTTCCTTCCTTCCTTCCTCATTTACTGAGCATCCAAAAGTGTCAGACAGAGCAGGGGTTGCTTAAAACAGCATCAAGGAATGAACTGAATAGTGGGAGAATCAGGTCGGTAAGGGAGCAAATACAATGTACTTTGGGGAATTCTGTGAGGAGGATATCGACAGCCTTACAGTCCGACATTCTTCACAACTATCTGCCAATCAAACCAAACTACATTTCCTTTCATGTCTTTGCAAGGGTCTGTTTTTTCTCCCTGAAAGAAGTTATCTTTTAGGATTTCCTGGAGAAATCCTAAAATTCATCCTTGAGGTTTCTACTTAGTTAACAACTTTGCAGCTAAGTCCTCTCAACATGTTTTTGACCGCGTTGTGACCTCCAACGCCTCAATGGAATCTCAATGTCTGGCTCTCCAAGTTTGTCTTTTCCTCCTCCAGCTCACCTTCTTCCCTACCCAGCATGACTGCCCTGGTTGGTTACTTAACAGGCCACCAACAAAGACTCCTTATCCTTACAATAAACTTTGACTCCTTGTTCAAACATGAATATATGTGGAATACATGCAATCCTTCTTTTCATCTGGTACTTGTCCTGGGTGCTAAGTGTTGCTGGAGGACATCACTCTACTGGCCCAGCTGGAACCAAGTCATTTTTATAGTTTCAGCCTCTGCTGGGCCAGTGTCCTGCTCAGCAGGGCCTTCTGCTTTCCTGTGCCCCATACTGTTTCCATCACTGGTTTGTGCACCCTCTGCAAGGCAGACAGCATGATTTTTTATCTTTGAATTCCCAAAAGTTAGCTCATTGTGTGCTCAAACATGTGTATTGAATGACAATTGCAATTTTTGACAATTACATAGATTTTGGGGAAGACTGACAGGCACCCAGGTAGCAGAACCACGCAAAGCCCAGGATCAGGGATGCCCAGGGCTGAATTCTGACTTGTGAGCCCCAAGCACTGTTGCTTTTGTGGGCGCCTTCCTCCATAAAAATACGGAAAATTACAGCTTCTGATTGTATTGGTATAAAGACAAATACAATCCAGGCTACATTAAAAGTTAAGGCCGGGCGCGGTGGATCACGCCTGTAATCCCAGCACTTTGGGAGGTTGAGACGGGCGGATCATGAGGTCAGGAGATCGAGACCATCCTGGCTAACACGGTGAAACCCCGTCTCTACTAAAAATACAAAAAATTAGCCGTGCACAGTGGCGGGCGCCTGTAGTCCCAGCTACTCGGGAGGCTGAGGCAGGAGAATGGCGTGAACCTGGGAGGCGGAGCTTGCAGTGAGCGGAGATCGTGCCACTGCACTCCAGCCTGGGCGACAGAGCGAGACTCCGTCAAAAAAAAAAAAAAAAGTTAAAACATTTTCATAGACTGTAAAACTTCATTTTTCTTCTAATTTTAAAAGGAGTTAAAACGTTCTCTTGTAGCTTTACAGTTTGGAGGGTCCCCTTCACTGCCCACACTGTTCCTAATGGATAAGTCGAGCCTGACCGGGGCACTCTGGTGTGAGGTTGAAGAAAGGAAATTTGAAACAAAAAAGCCAAGTGCTCTGGAGAAGCAGGTGAAACTTCCACTGCCAAACAAAATCAGAATGGGAGCAGCTATGGTTAATAAGGTTGTGGAAGTTTCGAGTAGCTTCCAGTTCACTTCCCCTTTTAACTATTTGACTTTCCAACTTTTGTTTTACAAACCCACTGCCCATGTCTGTAAAGGAGCAGGGAGTCAGAGATGGATCCTGAAAGGGAAGAGGGAGAAAGGGATGCATGAAGAGAGGTGGGAAGAGATGGACGACAAAGGCAGAGGGGACTAAGGGACCAAATAATTATCTGTGCCTGCCCATTTTTCTCTTTATAAGACTTCATTAGATAAGGTGAAGAACAAGTAATTTGGGTTGACAATTTGAGAATAAAATAATTTAATTTACCAAGCATTTTATCATAAAGTTCTCAGTTTTAAAATATATTCCTTACTTTGCTAAAGAAAAAATAAGAAGTTATACCTGTAATAGAAATAAGTTAAAAAAAGTTGACATTAGTGTTTTTACTATTCATAAAGCATATCTACATGCCCATTTTATTTGATCATAAGCGAGGTGACATATATGAGGTAGCAGAGAGTAAGTACCACATTTACCACGTGGTAAAATGATTGTTGAAGGCATTCAGCCTGCTGGGCTCTTTCACCTACTCCCCACCTGTGCCAATTCCCATGTGGAAATGTAAGTCTGAGAGAAAGAAAAGAACCTCTTTCTTTATATCTATAGAGTGTACATACTTCATGGAACTATCTACCCCAACATATGCTATAGGAGGCATATGAAAAGCTTCAAAAGTTGTTCAGAGAAATTTGGGAGTAACAGTTCAGAAATTTTTAATAACAAAAAAATACTCCATTCATGGAAACATCCCTAGTCTTTGAGGCAATCATGATGGAATGCCACACAGACCTCCAGGCTATAGTCTCTGGATATAATATAAACAGAACAACGTCCTTGGTAAACTCCAATAGCACAGGTAGCAAAGAGAGTCGGTTGGAGCTCTGGTTTCCTAAAGGAGGAACTGCCATAATTTTAAAATTTCTTAATATTGAAAAGACCCTTGGGAAATTTCTACTATTTCTTAGCAAATTGCACTCTTTCTTTTCCTTTAATTTACTGTTTTTCAGCTCCAGAGAACATTCCTCACTCATGCACTCACCCACAATGTCTTCACCTCCACAGGGGCTCATCACGGCAGTCAGGGCGAGGGCCCCCAGCAGCAGAGCTTTGTTTAGGATCATCTTCTTCCCAAGGCAGGCTCAGCAGTTGCTGCTCTGAGCTGTAGAGCAATTGTGAGGACCTCGAGACAAGCAAATCTGAAGACACCCAAACCAAACCCTGCCAGGTCAGGTTTTGGCCAATCAGAAAAATCCCCTATGGTGACATATTGTTTGCCAGTTGCAGAGTTTATATTAAGAGCCCTGGAAGAAGACAGGGACATCCTCTGGTTCTGACACATCCTCCACACAGCATGGTCTTGAGGAAATTTTCTATAAATAAAGGGAAGATACTAAATCTGAATCTTCTGTCATGTGTGCATGTCTGCTAGTGTCAAGAGGGGCGGGAATTTCTGAGCAGCCGCTTGGATAGGTAAGGTCATCAATAATATGGCATCCTTCAGGGTTTTCTGGGTTACATTCTCCAGGAATTCTTCCCTGAAGTGATTTTCCTCCCTGGCAGTCCCCATCCCCTCCCCTTTCTCTGGCTTCTGTATGTGGGTTAGCTGTTTTTCTTTTTGCTTCCATAGTGTATATGGTATTCCCCAAATTTTGACTTGACCCCACCTTCCTAGGGATCTCTGCTGGTGGTAGCCAAGCAATACCTTTGCCTTTTCTACTTGTATAAATCCAGTTGGGTAAGTTCTCAAAAGCTCCAGGTGTTTTTGACCAGGGCAATTAAAGGGGTTAGACTGTCATGCGGTGCTGCCTACAGTAACCGATCTTTTACAGTTTTTTCTTTTGCTTCTAGTAATCTTTATGCTCTGTGTTTCGGTGCTGCTTGAATATATTTAAAGGAAATTTAGGGACATTGATTACATTAAAAAAGCTTTGGCTGGCTCAATTACTCTAATAATTTATTTTATTTTATTTTATTTATTTATTTATTTTAAGACGGAGTCTCGCTCTTTGGCCCAGGCCGGACTGCAGTGGTGCTATCTCGGCTCACTGCAAGCTCTGCCTCCTGGGTTCACGCCATTCTCCTGCCTCAGCCTCCCGAGTAGCTGGGACTACAGGCGCCCGCCACCGCGCCCAGCTAATTTTTTGTATTTTTAGTAGAGATGGGGTTTCACCGTGTGAGCCAGGATGGTCTCGATCTCCTGACCTCGTGATCTGCCCGCCTCGGCCTCCCAAAGTCCTGAGATTACAGATGTGAGCCACCGCGCCCAGCCAGTAATTTTTTTTTTTTAATTTAAGAATGTCAAGTCAAATATTGAGAGTAGAATAAGGAGAATTGCTTTAACTTAGAAAATAGGTTTACTGGCCGGGCGCGGTGGCTCACGCCTGTAATCCCAGCACTTTGGGAGGCCGAGGCGGGCGGATCACGAGGTCAGGAGATCGAGACCATCCTGGCTAACAAGGTGAAACCCCGTCTCTACTAAAAATACAAAAAATTAGCCGGGCGTAGTGGCGGGCGCCTGTAGTCCCAGCTACTTGGGAGGCTGAGGCAGGAGAATGACGTGAACCCGGGAGGCGGAGCTTGCAGTGAGCCGAGATCCCGCCACTGCACTCCAGCCTGGGCGACAGAGCGAGACTCCGTCTCAAAAAAAAAAAAAAAAAAAAAAAAAAAGAAAATAGGTTTACTTTTCTTAAACTACTGGATCTTTTCATATTTGTTATCCAACCACATTAAGATTTCAGATATTGCAAGGGACTAGGGAATGAGCTAAAATGTAGTAATCACAGGGAAACTTACCTTTTTTCAGATGAATCTATTTTCTGTATGTTATAGAAACAACAAGTTAGTAATGGAGGTTTCATTTAGAATCACTCTGTCCTTGTTGAATGGCCTTCTGAGATTCTCAGCATGTTGTCTTGCCTCCCAATGGCAGAGACTAAAAAAAGGTAAAATAAAAAAGTATCCTGATACCTGGGGGCTGCCTGGATGCAATTAACAAGGCCTTGGGGTTGCTAGGAGCTAGCCTGGTGTGCACAGCTGGTTTTGATTCTCCTGTTGAAGATAATCAATTTCATAGAACATTAGAATCAGACAGGTACTCTGTGAGTGCGATGGATTGAGACAGAAAATAAGGCCACTCAGTCATCACGTCTGCACCCAGACAAAACATGAATATTGTCCAAACTACAAAAATAACCAGGCACATCTCTCGAAAGAGTGATTGCTGCTTCTTTACCAATCACAGCCGTAGCCTCAGGATAGTCTTCCGTCCCTCTAGGTAGTATTTATGAAGCTACCCAATCATAGCATTGCCAATCCCCACTCCCTGCTTTCTGTCAGAATCCAGTTAAAAATGAAGTCCCTCTTTCTTAACTCCTCCTCAAAATTACCTAACACAAGCACAAATCTTACAATTGATTAATGGTCAATTTTATGTGTTGACTGGACTGTGGTCCCCAGTTATTCACACACTAATAATCTAGGTGTTGCTGTGAAGATATTTTGTAGATGTCATTAAAGTTCATAATCAGTTAACTTTAAGTAAGAATTTATCTGAGATAAATTGGGTGAGCTTAGTCTAAGCAGTTGAAAAGTCTTAAGAGCAGAGCTGAGGCTTCTCTGAGGAAATGGAAATTCCACTGTGGGCAGCACGTCAGCCAGTGCTAAGAATTTCAACCTGCCTTTCCTGATGACCACCTCCCAGTGGGTCTTAGACTTGCCTAGTCCACCCCTACAGTTGCACAAATTAATTCCTTTCAGTCATTCTCTTAATATATGTGTTCTCCTAGTTCTACTTCTTTGGTTCCAACAATCTCTTACTGAACTGCTGCATGATTCCCCATGGTGACTTTTCTCCATCATTGCAACGAACAATAAAGCCAACTTGTTCATTCAAGGGTATGCTCTTCGTGGTCTTTGGCCGGAGGCACTGATGGTACCTCACTAGGCAGTTGTGAGGAATGTACATATACTGCACTTGGAATGAATTACTCTTTATAAATACTTGTCATACTTTAGTATCATCCACATTTTTCAAGGAGGACATTAAAACTCAGAGAGGTAAAGGACTTTTCCCAGGGTCACATGGCTCGTAAGTAGTAGAGATGGGCTGCTACAGGGGCAAGCCATGATTCCTCATGAGGGGTGAGGGGTGTCTCCTTCTGTGTGGATTCAGAGTAAGTGCCCTAATACGATTAGGAGAGATATATGACACTGTACGTGGCCTTATTACTCTTTCTAGCCACTGCCATTTTGAACTAAGAGGGTTTTTGAGGTTGCAGTTGAGCTCTGCTCCCTTCACCGTGCAGCATCCTCTTTGCTGTGTAGTAAATAACACATTTCTATCTTTTTTCCCCTGTATCCAGACTTACCTGCTTTGTATCTGACAGAAATTCCTTAAGATTTTGGCAAATGAACTAAATCTTTCCTGATAGTACTCCAGAATTTCCCCTATTAATACCACAGTTTAAAAAACTCAACTCTAATTAGGAAGTTAGGGTGTTAAATGTGGGATCAGAATTGTATCTTAGAAGGGAAGTCGTGGGTTCAGTCTCAGATCTCACATCCTGTGGGATGGAGGGAAAGTCCAAGCAAGGCCAGGTCATTGACTAAAAGATAATAGATGCTCTTTCTATCTTTAACTGGTTTTGTGTCCCTCTCCTCCTCCTGCTTCATCCAGCCAGAATACAGCGAACCTTGTTCTATTTGCTTCTGTTTTCAGGTCATAATTTTAATGCAAGATAGAATAATCAGTAAATTAGACTCAGAAGAACAGTATACCATTTTAACAGAAACCAATTTCTTATTTTGTCTTGTAGAAATAGAAAAGGTCCTCAGTACTTTGGGAGGCTGAGGCAGGCAAATCACAAGTTCAAGAGATCGAGACCATCCTGGCCAACATGGTGAAACCCCATCTCTACAAAACAAAAAACAAAAAACAAAAAAAAATTAGCTGGGTGTAGTGGCATGCGCCTGTAGTCCCAGCTACTACTCGGGAGGCTGAGGCAGGAGAATCGCTTGAACGCGGGAGGCGGAGGTTGCAGTGAGCCGAGATCGCACCACTACACTCCATGCACTCCAGTCTGGCGACAGGGCGAGACTCCGTCTCAAAAAAAAAAAAAAAGAAAAAGAAAAGAAAAAAGAAAAAGTCCTTTTCATAAAGTAATAGTGGGAATAAAATTTGGAGCTCAAAATACTACTTTGTCTAATAACTTTCTTAGAAAGCACTAATTGACATGCCATTGATTTCGTAACTAAAATAACAATGGGATATGCCATTACAATTGATATTATTAAGGGCCCTCTAAGAAATTAGGCAGAAATTATGTTAGTTCTAAGGAGCAGTTATAACATTCTCTAAGACCCTAACTTTAGGTCTAATTTTATGCATTGATGAAATTTTACTCTGAAGGCCAAGACTTCTATCTTGCAGTAGTTAAAGGTGCTTCACAAAAATAACAGAGTCTAGAATAGCAAAATAAAAATATTATAGATTTTGTAATAAAATAAATGTATTCCATGCTGCTTTTGATTTTATCAGCTCCATCACCCTGGGCAAGCCACTCAGAATACCTGAGCCTTAGGGTTATTTTCTATAATGTGGGATGAAAACTATTAGAAGATAATTAATATCATGAAACGATAGATAAGTACAAATTATACAGTTAAATACAGGCCAGTGTCTGGCACCTAGCAACTATTCCCAAGTGGGAGCTGCTATATAAAGACAAATATTAATAATGATAATGATAGTAACATCACACATTGGGCTGGGACAGACTATTACTTTTTCTTCATTCATTTAAGCTTCTCCCTGTGGCACTCCAGGCATATAGGAGCCTGTGAGCCACAGAAACACTAAGAGATTTCTAGGAAAAAGAATTTCTTTGAAGACTGTTGTATCTGTCAGATTTTTCTATGTAACAAACTATTCCAAAACTTAATGACTTCCAACAATGATTTAGTATCTTCGTATGATTCTGTAAGACAGACATTCTAAAATGAGGCCAATAGAAAATTCCTGCAAGTGATGTTTGACAATGTCTGGAGATACTTTTGTTGTCATTACTGGGGAGGGTGCTACTGGCAGGTATTGGGTAGAGGCCAGGGGTGCTGTTACACATCCTGCAATGCACATGGCAGCCTCCTACAAGAAAATAATCACCTGAAACAAAATGCCAACAGTTCTGAGGTTGAGAAGCCTCATTTTAGACCATTTTTTAAATGTGAAAAAATGTTTCATTTCCAGCGTTTATTTCTTTGTATAGATCCAGGTTTCTATGTGATATCATATGGCTACCATGTGAAGGTCTTCCTTTTACATTTCTTATGGTGCAAAAATCCCATGGACACCAATATTCCCACGACTCAAAGATAATAATGAATGCATGACTATCTCAAGTGCATAGGCGCGGAGAGGAGGACAAATGAGAGTGGAAGCATTCCCCTGCCCCCATCTTCTCTCTTTAGTGCCCATTGTAAGCCTTTCAAGCTCCACCATCTCTCAGGTGCAAGATTGTCCTTGCCAATCTTCTTTAGTCAATGGGATACTTTTAGAGAAATACTATAGCAAGAATAATTTTTACTCAACTTGTATCATTGTAAATAATTTATAAAATATTTCTTTTGTTTGAGGTATTTTTCAAAATCCCCAAACATCACACATATCTGGATTCATTTTTCCCTAAAGTTGTCAGTTATTAAAACATTTGAATTATTCTTGTGTTATTATTTCTGTTTTTAATGTTCTGGCAAAATCACAACTTAAAATTTCTAGGTAAAATGCTTTACATATACATGATGACCTTTGGTAAATACATATGAATAATTTCATATAAACACTTGCTTTTAAAGTTTCCATTTAAAATTATTTGTCATTTTAAAATCACTAATGCTAAGTAAAAATAACTGTACAGCTGACTGTGGAGGTGTGTGCCTATACTCCCAGCAATTCAGGTGACTGAGGTAGGAAGATCACTTGAGCCAAGGAGTTTGAGGCCAGCCTGGGAAACATAGTGTTACAGGACTTTTCCTTAGTTCAGCTAATGACAGCGTCCTTGCCACACAGCCACAATAAATTACGTTCACAGACAACTTGAAGGGTGAGTAGGACAACTTGAAGGTTGAGTATTGGGTGAAAAGGAAGAAAAGGGGAAACAGAGGCTCTTAGCAAAGTGAGAGAATGCATTTTTTTCTGCCAGTGGGCTTCCCACCTCACAGATTGAATTCCACGTTCCACCCAAAGAAGAGGGGTCACTCTCCTCCCTGCCGCAAATGGTGCAAACTTCTGTGGCTCCATCCCAGTTTGCACTCCTCCCAGTGCTCAGGCTGGCTGGAATTTATCTGGGGACCCCTTCCCACCTGGCTGTCTCAGTAGCAAGACCCCGTCTCTAAAAATAAATAAATGAAAAGATCTATTCAAAGAACGTTCCAATATGTACATTAGGATTGGAGAGCTCCTAGGAAAAGAATCAATCGCTATTAGGCGTGAGGAATATTATCTGTTTCCCAGTAGTCAGTTCTACAACCTGATTCAGATGAATTAAGAATTTCAGTTCAACTCAACAAGTATTTATTGATTACATACTATAGTCTCTGCACAAAGTCTTTATCAAATAACTATTCTGTTTAGCTGAAGAGTAACCTGGGGCTATGGTGAAAGCAGATCTGCACATGGGAGTAATTTTGCGTGTTTTCCCACAGAAGACTATTAGGGAGCAGTATTTTCCCCATACTATTTTTTTGTTATTGTGTAGTTTATTTAAGAGAGCTGTTTAAAGCAACTAGTTCATTCATACAGGAGTTGTTACTGACAAAGAATTGGTGGGGATGATATTAAATAACAAACGGAATTGTCTTTGCACGGTTACCTTATAGGTAACAGAGGGTCTAGAGCAAAATTAGTAGCAATATATTGTGTGTTTATGGAATATAAAAAAATATAATACATGATAACAATTGCACAATGAATGAGAGAGAGAGAAATTTGGAGCATACTGAGCTAAGGTATATTTGAAAGTATATTATACATAAATGTAAAATCCTAGGGCAAAAACTAATCCAAAAGAAGGCAGATAAACAATTTTGAAAATGAACAAACGTTTAATAGAATTAATAAAAAATATCTAGCAAAAATAATCCAACCATGTTGATAATTTCATAGATATAATTGGCCTAGACACACCAATTAAATGATAAAGAAGATCAGACAGCAAAAATGGCACAATTGAACTATAATCTGTCTACAAGAAACCCATTTTAAATATAAAGGCATACCTACCTTAAAAGTAAAATGAATGAAACTGTATACCATGCAAACAAAATCAAAAGAAAATTAATAAAAACTTGCCTTAACTTCATCTCCCCACTTTTTAACTTTTTGTTGTTTCTATTTATATCTTATTGTACTATGTCTTGAAAACTTGTTGTAGTTATTATTTTTTATTGGTTCATCACGTAGTCTTACTACTTAGAATAAGAGTAGTTTACACACCACAGTTGCAGTGTTATAATATTCTGTGTTTTTTTCTTGATGTTCTCCTCCCTGTGTCCACGTGTTCTCATTGTTCAACTCCCACTTATGAGTGAGAACATATGGTGTTTGGTTTTCTGTTCCTGTGATAGTTTGCTGAGAATGATCATTTCCAGCTTCATTCATTTCCCTGCAAAGGACATGAACTCATTCTCTTTTATGGCTGCATAGTATTCCATGGTGTATATGTGCCACATTTTCTTAATCCAATCTATCATTGATGGGCATTCGGGTTGGTTCCAAGTCTTTTCTATTGTGAACAGTGCTGCAATAAACATACATGTGCATGTATCTTTATAGTAGAATGATTTATAATCCTTTGGGTATATGACCAAAATGGAATTGCTGGGTCAAATGATATTTCTGGTTCTATATCCTTGAAGAATCGCCACACTGTCTTCCACAATGGTTGGACTAATTTACACCCCCACCAACAGTGTACAGCGTTCCTACTTCTCCACATCCTCTCCAGCATCTGTTGTTTCCTGACTTTTTAATGATCACCATTCTGACTGGCAAGAGATTGTATATTTAAAAAACCCCATCATCTCAGCCCAAAATCTCCTTAAGCTGACAAGCAATTTCAGCAAAGTCTCAGAATACAAAATCAATGTGCAAAAAGCACAAGCATTCTTATATACCAATAACAGACAAACAAAGAACCAAATCATGAGTGAACTCCCATTTATAATTGCTACAAAGAGAATAAAATACCTAGGAATACAACTTACAAGGGATGTGAAGGACCTCTTCAAGGGTAACTACAAACCACTGCTCAAGGAAATAAGAGAGCACACAAACAAATGGAAAAATATTCCATGCTCATGGATAGGAAAAATCAGTATTGTGATAATGGCCACACTGGCCAAAGTAATTTACAGATTCAATGCTATCCTCATCAAGCTACCATTGACTTTCTTCACAGAATTAGAAAAAACTACGTTAAATTTCACATGGAACCAAAAAAGAGCCCGTATAGCCAAGACAATCCTAAGCAAAAATAACAAATCTGGAGGCATCACGTTATCTGACTTTGAACTATATTAGAAGGCTGCAATAACCAAAGCAGCATGGTACTGGCACCAAAACAGATATATAGACCAATGGAACATAACAGAGGCCCCAGAAGTAACACCACACATCTACAACCATCTGATATTTGACAAACCTGACAAAAACAAGCAATGGGGAAAGGATTCCCTATTTAATAAATGGTGTTGGGAAAACTGGCTAGCCATATGCAGAAACTGAAATTGGACCACTTTCTTAAGTCAAAAGGACTTACTGAGAACTGACTTCCTTTTCTCCCAGGTTTTTATGGTGACCCCTTTGCATCACCTGACTCCCAGGCTGCAGGTCAGACTTGTCGGTGTGCCTTCTGATGTGTTGAAGTTCTGGGCTTTGACCTTAGGGCTGATGTCTTGGAGGTGGTCTGTGGGGTTATAGAAAGACATACTCCTGAGGAGTTGCCGCCCCTTTTTCTCCTCCTCCTCATCCAAAAATTAACTCAAGATGGATTAAAGACTTACACATAAAACCTAAAACCATAAAAACCCTAGAAGAAAACCTAGGCAATACCAGTCAGGATATAGGCATGGGCAAAGACTTTATGATTAAAACATCAAAAACAATGGCAACAGATGCCAAAATTGACAAATGGGATCTAATTAGACTAAAGAGCTTCTGCACAGCAAAAGAAACTATCATCAGAGTGAATAGGCAACCTACAGAATGGGAGAAAAATTTTGCAATCTATCAATTTGACAAAGGGCTAATATCCAGAATCTACAAGGAATTTAAACAAATTTACAAGAAAAAAAACAACCCCATCAAACAGTGGTGAAAATATATGAACAGACACTTCTCAAAAGGAAGACATTTATGTGGCTAACAAACATATGAAAAAAAGCTCATCATCACTGGTCATTAGAGAAATGCAAATCAAAACCACAATGAGATAATTATGTCAATACTAGACAAAGTAGATGTCAGAACAAGGAATATTACCAGGGATAAAGAGGGATATTATTTAATGATAAGGGGTTATTGCTCCAAAGACACATAACAATCTTAAGTGTGTATGCACCTAACAACAGAGCATCGAAATACATGAGACAAAAGCCGATAGAAATGAAAGGAGAAATAGAAAAGTCAAAAATTTTTTGTATGAGGTGTAAGGAAGGGGTCCAGTTTCAGTTTTCTGCATATGGCTAGCCAGTTTTCCCTAAAACCTGTGAATAATGGAGCTAAAGATTTACTTAAACATGAAGATCTTTGTTTTGTAAGAAATCACACATAGTTACACATTGTCAGATCTTTTTTAATTATTATTTTTACCAGACATAAGAAGGCAAGTACATATACCTACACATATATGTATATACGAGTATTTGAAATATTATCAGTCTATGTTACAAAGAGCTTTCACATGAATGATCTGGTTTAATAAACAAGTGACCACTGAATAAACGTATTGCTTTTCTAAAGAGTAGGCTAACTAGTTAGCTAATTAAAACCTAGATCTGGGATTGGAGTAGAAGACTAATTAATATCTGCTATCTTTTCCACTTTAGTATCAAAGGAGGGATGTGAGCCCATGATGAGGATTTCTTTGCTGCCTTACCCTCTAAGTTTCTTTTCCTGTTGTCATTCCTCTTAGTGGAGCCTGCAGTGACCATCTCCCCAGCTAAGACATAGGTCAGCCATCACAATTTGCTGGTCTGTTTGGTGACAAATTTCTTTCCTTGCCAAGTGAAACTCAGATGGTTCCAGAAAAAACAGAAGCAGACTGCTGGAGTTGTATCCACACCTATTCAGAATAGGGATTAGACCTACCAGATTCTTGTAATGCTAGAAAATAATACCCGAGCGTGGAGATGTCTACACCTACCATCTGGAGCACCCCAGCCTCCAGAGCCCCATCACAGTAGAATGATGTAAGGAGCACTTTATTGATATCATAAATTCAATGGAAAAAAGGAAGGGTGGGGGGGGTCTGGGTCTTGTGGGGGTGAGGTCACTACTAACCTCTGCTTGTTATACATTTTCATACCTTCTCTCCTACACAACTGTATCCCGATATAATTTCTGGACTAGTAGTCATGGAAGACTGAGATCCCATTGTCTCAAGTCAAAATGCACTTGCTGAGAACTGACCTCCTTTTCTCCCAGTTTATTATGGTGGGCCCTTTGCATCACCTGACTCCCAGACTACAGGTCAGCCTTGTCGGTGTGCCTTCTGAGGTGTTATAGTTCTAGGTTTTGACCTTAGGGCTGATGTCTTGGAGATGGTCTGTGGGGTTATAGAAGGACATATCCTTGAGGAGTTGTCATCTCCTTTTCCCCCTCCTCCTCATCCATCCATGCTGCCCCTTGGGGTCTTTGCCTGCCTGTCATCTCCTTTGCTTGGTGACAGACTACCTCTGTCTCTTACATCCTGGATAGGACTCCAGGCTTCCAGATGAGGACACTGTGGGGTGTGGGGACAGGCTCTGACACACAGGCTTTCACTTCCCAGGGACACTGTCTGAATCTGCCCAGAGCAAGATGCTGAGTGGCCTTCGGGGTCTTGTGCTGGGGCTGATCTCTCTTGGTTTGGGCCTTGTGGCCCAGCCATTTTTGGAATAAGAAAGGTAAGGCACCTTTGAAGAAGATGGAGAGACTAGTGCTGGGACTGAGGCTTTTTGTTGTAACTCGTCCTGTCTGACTCTGTAATGGAAAGGCAGCTAAGGTGGGGATGGAAATAGATCACAGAAATTAGGAGCTCCCTGGCCTGGGTCATGTCTGCATCATTACAGAAGGGAGTGGTGGAGGGTTATTCTTAAATAGACAGGGCTCCACTCACAGGTAAGATCCCTGCTCTCCTTGCCCAGAAATATGACACACATAAGGTGGAAAAAAGAGTTGAGTGGGTTTTTCTGGACACCTGAACATGCTTCAGTTATTTTGCTGTTCCTGAATGAATGTAGCATGAAACAAAATTCTGGAATATTCTGGAAAAAATTCTGGAAAAATTCTGGAATGTTCTGAAAAGTCTCTGCTCTAAACTTCAGGGATTATTCCTCAGAATAAGACCCAACCTGTGGTATCAGTCATTCAGTGAGGCTTGGATGATGCCCCCAAATCCCCAAATTGCAGAGAGTGCTGCTGAACTTGGTGATAGGTGAGATGAGAGGGAATTACAGTTGTTACCATTCCAGTTAGTCCACGACCTGTGCATCACCAAAGAATTTCGACATCCTCTTCTGCCTTCCACAGGCCCCTTCAAGCTGATGTTTTGTGTTCACTTTAACAGAGTAAAGTGCACTTCAGATGTATTGTGATTTTGGTTCCAGAGAGCACTGCAAGAAAGTCAAACGTATCTTTCGGTTTCCCAGTGCATATAAAAGTCATGTTTACAATATATAGTAGTCTATTAAGTGTGAAATGGCATTATGTCTAAAAAAGTGCATACCTTAATTAAAATATTTTATGGCTAAAAATACTAACAATCCTCTGAGCCTTTAGTGAGTTATGATCTTTTTGCTGATAGAAGGTTCTTTCCTTGATGTTGATGGCTGCTGCTGCAGTTTGAGGTGGCTGTGATAATTTCTTAAAATGAAAGAACAATGAAGTTTGCTGCATAGATTGACTCTTCCTTTCATGAAATATTTTTTTGTAGCATGTGATGATGTTTGGTAGCATTTTACCCACAGTAGACCTTCTTTCAAAATTGTAGTCAATCCTCTCAAACCCTGCTGCTGCTTTCTCAACTAAGTTATGTAATATTCTAAATCCTTTGTTGCCACTTCAACAACATTCATAGCATCTCACCAGGGGTAGATTCCCTCTCAAGAAACCACTTTCTTTGCTCATCCACAAGCAGCAGTTCCTCATCCATTCAAGTTTTATCATAAGATTGCAGCAATTTAGTTACATCTTCCGGTTCCACTTCTAATTCGAGTTCTCTTGCTATTTCCAGGACATCTATAGTTCCTTCCTCCACTGAAGTCTTAAACGTCTCAAAGTCATCCATGAGGGCTGGAATCAGCTTCTCCCAATCTCCTGTTAATGTTGATATTTCGACCTTCTCCCATGAATCATAAATGTTCCCAATGACATCTAGAATGGTGAAGGCTTTTCAGAAGGTTTTCAATTTGCTTTCCCCAGATCCATCGAGGAATCACTGTCTCTGACAGCAATAGCCTTATGTAATATATTAAATAATACGACTTGAAAGTTAAAACTACCCCTTGATCCATGAGTTGCAGAATGGATGTTGCATTAGCAGGCATGAAAACAACATTCATCTCCTTGTACATCTTCATCAGAGCTCTTGGATGACTAGGTACCTTGTCAATGAGTAGTAGTATTTTGAGAGGAATGCCTTTGTCTGGGCAATGGGTCCCAACAATAGGCTTAAAATATTCAGCCAACTATATTTGAAACAGGTGTGCTGTTATCAGGCTTCGTTTTTTCATTTATAGAGCACAGGCGGAGTAGATTTAGCATAATTCTTAAGGGCCCTAGTATTTTTGAAATGGTAAATGAGCACTGGCTTCAATTTAAAGCCACCTGCTGCATTAGTCCCTAGCAATAGAGTCAGCCTGATCTTTGAAGTTTTGAAGCCAGCATTGACTTCTCTCTAACTCTGAAAATCCTAGAAGACACCTTCTTCCAATAGAAGGCTGTTTCATTTCTATTGAAAATCTATGATTTAATATAGCCACCTTCATCAGTGATCTTAGCTAGATCTTCTGGATAAATTGCTACAGCTTCTATATCACCACTTGCTACATCATCTTGTACTTTGGTATTATGAAGGTGGCTTTTTTCCTTAAGCCTCATGAATCAACCTCTGCTAGATTCAGACTTTTTTCCTGCAGCTTCCTCACATCTCTCAGCCTTCATAGAACTAAAGAGAATGAGGGCCTTTCTCTGGATTAGACTTTGGCTTAAGGGAATGTTGTGGCTGGTTTGATCGATCCAGATCACTCAAACTTTTTCCACATCAGCAATAAGACTGTTTTACTTTCTTATCATTTGTATGTTCACTTGAGTAGCAGTTTTAATTTCTTTCCTTCAAGACCTTTTCCTTTGCTTTCACAACTTGACTAATTGTTGAAAGCAAGAGACCTAGATTTTAGCCCATCTTGGCTTTTGACCTGTCTTCTTCACTAAGCTTAATCATGTCTAGCTTTTGATTTAAAGTGAGAGACAAGTGACTTTACTTAGAGGCCATTGTAGGGTTACTAATTGGCCCAATTTTAATGTTCTTGTGTTCTTAGGGAATAGGGAGGCCTGAGGAGAGGGCGAAAGAGAGAGAGGATGGCTGGTCAGTGGGGCAGTCTGAACATACACAACATCTAACAATAAAGTTGATTGTCTTATATGGGTTCAGTTCATGGTGCCCCAAAACAATTACAACAGTAACATCAAACGTCACTGATCACAGATCGGCATGTAATAGTAATGAAAACGTGAAATATTACAAGAATTACGAACATATGACACAGAGACACAAAGTGAGGACATGCTGTTGGTGAAATGGTGCTGATAGACTTGCTTGGTGCAACCCTTCAATTTTTAAAAAACCACAATATTTGAGAAGCACAACAAAGCATAGCACAATAAAAAGAGGCATTCCTGTTGCCATCTCTACTCAGTTACCAGGAAAGGTAACGAGGAGCAGGTGTTGACATAAGCTCAACCTTAGTGTCCTGACAACTGCAGAGAGGCCCCAAGGGAGGGAGGGACTGTGTTTCTTCAGGGGTTGGTGTGACATGTGATTGTTTCTTCTGTCTCTTAGAGGGCTCACGCATTGACTGCAAACATTTTTCTTTCTGGGATCTGTCACCTCTTTCTTGTCTTGTCTTGGCTTTACTCTTGTCTGTAATTCCCAGCTCCTCTTCTGTCAGGCCTGTGAGCAGGCCATTTCTGCCAGCTGTGTCACCCATCAGGACATGACTCCCATGGTGACTGAGAAGTGGCTGCCAGGTTGTTGCTTGTTCTTGTCTTTCCTAAATTCCTGCCTGCAAGAAATTTCCTAAATGTTTGCTCACTACCATGATAATGAGAGCTCTGCTCTCTGCTGTCTGCTGTCCCTGTTTGGATCATAAGTACTTTCATAAGCTTTTACTACCTTCTTCTGTTTCTGAAGACTGATCATGAACTAAATGTCAAACTTCTTATAATTCAATAGTTTTTCAAAATTAAATAGATTTGTGAGTCACTTGTGTTTCTAATTCTGATTGAGTAGGGTAGTGGTGTTGGTGGGAAACATTGAGCTAAGAAAGGGATCAGATTCTAGAACTTTAGTTCAGTTATGACCCCCAAAGAAGACAATGTCCAGGCAAGGACACTCAAAAATCATGAGTCCCCATACTTGGTCTAAGTCAGGTGCTACATAAGAATGTGAAATGAGATATGAAATAAATTTAATTTTCCATCATCAGTGGGGCTTGGAAGTTGGGATTGTGTGCAGCAGTCTTTCCTGGCTTCTGCAATAGTCTGATTAGTTTCACTTATTTGTGCAAGTAGAATTGTTTTGCACCAGTCATGGTACCTAATGCCATAACTTAACCAAACGGCACCACAAATATCTTCTGGTGAGTACACCGTGTTCTTCAGGGCAAAAGACAATGATTGTTGATTCCATCCAACCTACCCAATTGTATAATTACCAATGGAGGTTTTATTAGAAAGTAGTATTTTGGTTGCTTATAATGGAAACTCTGTTAGACCATCTTAAGGGGAAAAATTAATTTTGGGGCTCATGCAATCAAAGTTTCTAGGTGAATTTAGCTTCTGAAAAATGCTTAGATACTGGACACAAATGGGACCTTTTTCTCTCTTCTCTTTCATTTCCCTCCCTCTCTCTCTCTGACCCTTCTCTCCCCCTTCTGCCCTCATTCCCTTCTGTCTGTGCACTTCTGTTTCATTCTACTCTATATTTCTCTCTGACTGTTTTTCTCTTCCTTTCTCTTCAAATCTCTTTTCTATCTCTGTCTGAAAGACCTCCTCCCCATTAATATATTTGATAGCTTTTCTGTCTTTCTTCGATTTGCATTTCCCCTTATATCCATTTCTCTGAATCGCTGTTTCTTTTTCTCTCTGTGACTCTCTCTTACATATATATGTGTGTGTATATATATAATTTATTATCTGCCTCTTGGGTTGTCTCTCTGTCCACCTCTTTTCCCCCCTTCCATCTCTCTACTGGCCTGTGTGCCTCACTGCCATTTTTTCTCTGTCATTCCATCTGTCCATTGTCTTTTTCTTTGTCTATATTTTATGTTTATGTTGTTTATTTCCCTGCATCTTTCAGTCTTTGTTTCTCTTTGTGTGTATGTATTTCTTTGTCTCTTGCTTGTGTTCTCTGTGTAGGTCTCTTTGAGTTCGGCTTTTTTCCTATTGATTACCCTTATTTTCTCCTATGGAAGTCAAACATTTCCTACATGGCTATGAAGATGGACATCTCATATTTTCAGCTCATCGTCTGAATAGCAACAGATCAAACATGTCAGCTCCATTTTGATAATCTGACGAAAGCTTAGCTTGAGTGGCATTCCAGTTTCTCAACCAATCACTTTAGCCATGGGATGTGGGACTCTGATTAACCAGGCCTTATATTTGAACCCACTTCTGTGTCAGGAATACAGATTTTCTTTTTCCTAAACAAAGATGGAAAAAGACCAAGGCTGGATAGGTCATAATAGTAGTGGCAATAAAAATAATAACTATCATAATCTATTATACAAGGCTCTTATATATGAAGTCTCTCTCCCTCTTTCTCTCTCTCTCTGTTTCTCTCTGTTCCTTTTCATATTAAAAAATTCAGAAGATGCTCCCTTTTAGTATAATATATGTAGTTCTTATACAACTGAAGCTTCATTTGTCCCATTCTAAAATGAGAAAATCCCAAATTATAAAAACCTCCAACTCCAGGAACTCTGGTGATATGAATTTCTCCTTAACTGCTTTGAACATGGCTCTTATTGGTCCTACAAACTATGATGAAATAATAGATAAATCCACCTTCAATACAGGTGGAAATAATAACATAACCACAATGAAACCATAATCAACGATCACTTCTGCCCAATGTGATGAGATATTGAAAAGCTAGGTGAAATCTGTTGCCCGCTGCTGTTTCATGGGGATGTAATCTCTTATGGAGAAAGAATGAGTCACTAGGACCCAAATGCAAAAGCAGCTGGAGTTATGTAACAGGGCACTCCTCACACACAGTCCCCAACATGTGTCTGCTACTACTGTCTATTTTGGAGGGAGTCATCAAGGAAAATATGGTTGGCAAAATTAGGGCAGATATCAATATCATTTGAGATTTGTCATGTCCATGTGAGTCTCTTTTGTTATGAACATTTTCAGGTATAGATCCCCAAGATGCTCTGTTATTAAGGTTTTCTAATGAGGAGTCAATAGCAGCTTAGCTCTTGGAGTCCTGCCCCTATTTAAGGTTTAAATAATCAGATTGGACAGTTATGAAATACTAGATCCTACCTATCTATGACTTCAGATGTGTGGGAGTATCTTGCCTTTAGCTTCTTCCACACTTTTTAGTTTACATCACTGGTTTTATTTAATAAAAGAAATAACAGAAAGGCATCAGGGGAAGGAGGAATTATCCTTGATTTGTCACATTCTCAACTTCCACATTCAGCCAGTTGGTGAATTCTATCAATTAAATGATAAAATATTTCTCAACCTAGTCCATTTTATTCATCTTCTTTGTAGCCACTTGACTTTAACATACTGCCGTATTCCTCCTGAATTGTTGAAATAGCCTCCTACCCCATCGCCCTACTTCCTTCTTGATTCCTACAGTTCATTTTCCACACAACTGCTAGAAATGTTTATAAAACTTAATCTATACCACATCTGTATCATGATTAAACACCTCACATGTTTTCTTATAGCATCTAGAATTAAACCTAGATTTCTTACCTGGCTAATCAAATCTTCTGCCTGGCTAATAAAATCTTCTGTGATCTGCTCTTTGCCCTTACTACTGAGTTCACTGTCTACCTTTTAACTGTCTCATTTTATTAGTTTGGGTAACACCAGCTGCTATACGGAATAAAGATAAAAATTTCAGGGGACTAGCTAAATAGACATTCTCTTCTTATTCACATAACAGTCCATTGCCAGATTGCTAATAGCCTAGATATTTTTCTCCACATAGTGACTCAGGAACCCAGGCCCTTCACATGCTGTGATTCTGCTCTTTTACTGGACTTTCTGCTCTCTGCTTCCAATGATGAAAGGCAAAAGAGAGAGGGTGGAGAAGGCACACTTATTACTTAATTCCTTGGTGTGCCAGCAACACACTTCACTTTCAGTCACATTTCATGATGAGAACTAGTGATGTGACCCCACCTAGATGAAAAAGCGTGAAAGTGGAGTCCTTACTTGGACTGCCATTTCTGAGCAATATCACTAAGCAGCAGGAGGAGGAGTGCACAAATTTTGGTGGAAATCCAGCCATCTCTGCCACTGACCTCATTTCTGTTTTTTTAACATTTCAGGTTTAGTCTACGTTAGGATGGTTCCTTCTGCCCGGAATATTTCTTTTCCTGATTGTTACATGTACATTGTCTTATTTCTAGCTCCTTTATGTTATTTTTGTTTCAGCTTAAATATAACCTAAGAAAAGATTTTCCTGATGACCAAATTTGGAGTTGCCACTCAGTTATTCTTAGTTAAATATTAATTTTCTTCATATCAGTTATCACATTTGTGAAAGCCATATATTCAATTGCAAGACCTGGTAGTTGAACAATTATTTTTAAAAGTCAATTGCAGTTGAGAATAATTAGAATGATTTGTAAATATATAATGTGGTAAACATTTTATTTTAACTTAAGTAAATACATGTATACATGTATATTTGTTTGGCAGTATGTTGACATAGAACCAAACCTTCACTTGGAAAATGTGTCTGTTGTTTAGAGTTTTAGGTTATCTTAAATGCCTAAACAACACCCATAACAAACTTTCTATCATATCAAATTTTAGTTTTTTAAAAAGTTTATGAGAATTTAGAGTGAAACATTACAAAGAATTCTGAATTTAGAAACACTTTAGATTTTCACCTCATTTTCTCCATTTTAAAAGTTATTTTACCTATATCCAATTTAATAATATTTTATTAGACAACTTATCTTTATTATTTCCAAAGCATTTAATGGTTTAAGAACTTAAAATTTCCCTTTTAAAATTCATTCTTAATTCATAATGAAATATTTACTTTATTTAAATATATGATTACAATAACAAGTCAATAGAGATGAACAGATTTGTGAGCAAACGCCAGCAACTTTTGGCAAACGTTAAACTCAACTAATGGAAGCAGAAATATACAGGAAGGCCAAAGAACAGCTGTGAGCTGTTGGCATGTCACGGGCATCAGCTTGTTTACTGAAGAAATGAAATATGCCAGTTAAACCCCAACAAATCAGTTCAATGAAATTGTCTATTCTACCTGGTCATTTTGTTTTCACTTAATTGATCATAATATAAACATATAATCTCTTATTTTTCTGGTCTCTGTCAATCTATTGATCTACAATTATTATCTATCATTATCATTTATTCATCTATTTATTTAGAGTATAAAATCAAAAGAGAGACCTTGTCTATTTTGTTCAACAATATTCTAAGTACCTAGAACACTGCCTGGTATACAGTAGGTGCTTAATAAATATTTGCTGGTTGACTACATGATGACTTTTTCTTCAGGAATTCACCTGTCTCTCAAATCTTTCGTCCTTTCTTGGGAAAGTTTTGGTACTGCTGTGCCAATATCACACATTATTATTTTATAATATACTTTGATATCTAGGGTGTCCTCTTCCTCATTCTTGATTTTCCTTTGCAAAATTTTCTTGGCTATTTTTGTCCATTGACACATATATGGTGGTAGTGGTGGTAATATTTTCATAAGGCAGAATTCCATCATTATTATTCAGTATTAACTTTTGTGTTTTCCACATTTCCCTTTTATGAATATGAAATGATGTTGTTTAAAATGGTAGTTTAAAAATCTTCAATATTGTATTTTCTACAGAAATACAATGCTTTATCATACAAGACCTTCAAATCAACAATCTCGCTACACACTCTTATCAATTGCATAGTCTACCTTTGAAATTATTTTGTGTATTTCTTTTGTACTTAGTTATAACATCTGCTAAAAATGATAGCGTTTCTTTCTCTTCAAACTTTATAGCTTCTTCTTTTTCTGTCTGTACTGCATTGGAAGGGACATACAATAAACACCTAGTAGATGTTATAGCTGCCATTTTTGTTTTGTTTTTGAGCCCACCGGATATGCCAATATTGAAGTTCTTATTCTAAGACTTTGTCTTAGGTTTTTAATGCCAGAAACAAGAGAAAATAATTACTATCTAATTTCTATGAACCAGGGAAAACATGTCAAGAAGAGATGGGTTCTCTATGGTATCCTATTCATTACTCAAAATGTAAGTTTTATATGGATTTCAAATATAGCTAACTCTTTGATGTTGCTCAAGTCTTCCATTCTGTTCTGGTTCTCCATGAAAAAATAAAGAGGCAATCAGTTACCCATTGGGACTCAGTGTGCTGAACGAAAATTCCCAAGAAGAAGATCAATTTCAGGGGCAATTGGGAGGAGGGTCTTCGTGTCTTGGCCTTGAGGGTGAAGATGCTGAGGACTCCCTCTGATCAAGGTAATAAATGATCACTGAAAACAGACACAAACCCAGAATCCATATTCCTACATATAGTGCCAACTAGAGTAGGAGTTCAAGTCACAATTTATTTATTTATTACAGAAGAGGGTGTTGAATTGCCATCAAAAAGGTTTTTTATTCTGTCTGTTCAAGTGGTAGACATGGAGTATTGAATAGCTACAGAGAACAAAATTTACCTTAGTTGATTTTGAGCGGAAAGGAGTTTATTACAGACCTTAATATAGCTTAGAGAATCATCAGGACAATAGAAGGAACTGAATCAGGCAACCAAGGAAACCACCTCCTCTTCTACAATCAGGAACTCATGCTGCCCAGAACAGCCATATTTGGGAAGCTCCTCCATTCAGTAAGCCCCCACGATCACCTGCTACAATCTGCACCAGTAACAGACACCCTGCATGCTGCCTCTTTATATCCATGAAGTCAGTTATCAGACATGAAAATCTCTCCTAATTCTGACACAGAAAATAAGGCACCCCTACACTGGTGCCTTTTCAGGTCAAAAAAAAAAAAAAAAAAAGACCTTCAGCATGTCCAGAATTTACCAGAATGCCTCTAATTGGCTAAATCTAAATGACATCAAATGCTATCCAGGAAATGTTCTTTTCATTTGCACATCTTTTGCAGTACAGGAGAAATGCACCAGAAGAGGTTGAGAGGTATGTTGCATGACAATCCACTACATATGGGAATAGGGACACTCAAACCTTCTCCTGCATTTTTCTTAGTAACACAATTTCCAGATCCAATCCTCTGCAGTGGAAACTAGGAGGGATGGCCTCATTACAGAATAGATAATGTACATGTCAATAATTTTTAGGCCCAATAGACCTTTTCTACTTAATATACCACCACCACCAACAACAATTTTTTGTTAATCCAGTGCCAAGGAGAAATAATTGACATGCCTGTCTCTTATTCCATATTTTAAGCTATTTTTATGGCTTGCTTTCTTTAATGAATGGTAAGCTCATTATCTCTTTTTAATCTTTCAAGTCATAGGCTTTGGTTTCAGTCTAGAGAAGCCAGCATTACCACAATGTCCCTTTCAGTCGGCTGTGGCCAGGAAGTTTCCAGAAAATCACAGGGCAATCCGAGTAGCTCTTCTACAATGTGTTTTTCTCCATGGTTTTACTTATTCCACAATATAACATTCTTTTTGCCGCTCAGTAAACTTAAGTACACTAACTCCCTATCTGTTTCTCTAATATGCAGATTTGTTTCTTCATTAGCAGTTTTCACTTATGTTCTTGCTGTGTGGAGTGGTTTGCTATAGATTTTGAATAGCTGGCTTTTTATTAGCATTCAGGTCTCTTTTCAAATAGAGTATTTCTAGAGTAACAATTTCTAGTCACTCAACCTAAAGAAGTTCCCTCCAATCACTCCCAATTACTTTTGTTTTTCTCCTCAGAGAGCACTCATTACTATATGATAATCATTCTTCATTTATTTGATTTCTTTGATAGCAGCAACCTTATTTGTCTCATAAAACACTGTCTCTCTAACTTAGATTATTACATAGCCTGTATTAGATAATAATATAAACAAAACCCATATAAATTAATCATTAGTACATTAATCTCCATTTTAGTCAGATGACACTGAACTAATCATATAGTAATTAATACACATGCTAAATAAGTAACTACTTCTATTTCAAGCTCTATCTCTTCTTTGTCACACTATCATGCCCTAGTTTCAAATTGTGTAGCAGATTTAGCCTCCTTCCATCCCCAACCATGATCCTAGCTTTCCACACAACCATGACTCAGCCCCAACTCTACCTAAATCCTTAGTGCCAAGCAGCCTCTTATCATCCCTACTTGTCTTTCGAACCAACCACACTTGGATAAGAGTTACCTCCATACCAAAGTAAAACCCAGTGTAAATAAGCCCCTTTCAAACACACACACACACACACACACACACACACACTTGGCTTTACAAACAAGATCCCAAACCTTTTCCTTTCATGGTTGGAAGTTTGAAATAATGTAAATAAGCAATTCTGCTCTAATTTCCCTTCATCCTCAGTATCAAACGGAAACCAAACCAAAACAAGTCAAATTACCACAAAAGACAAAAATCTTTACATTAAAAGAGTAATTAATAATAAACACTTTAATATATTCTTTAAATAAGAGAAATCTTCATTTCATCATGTTGGCAATCCTAGTGAAAAGCTGTACTCAAAGTTTAAAAGAAAATTATTTTTTAAAAGACTTCTTGATTTCAGCATCAAGTGTAAAAGGCAAAACCTTGTAAAATTATAAGATTTTTATTTAAACATGAACAATTAGCCAATAAAAGAATCTTTTCCTTATGAATATGAAATGGGGTACAGATTATTGGAGCAACCCTTTTTCTTTATGATATGAGTCATAATTAAAAAATAAACTGCAGTTTATATGGTTTGGCTGTGTCCGCACCCAAATCTCATCTTGAACTGTAGTTCCCATAATTCCCACGTGACTTGGGAGGGTTCCAGTCAGAAGTAATTGAATCAGGGGAGTGGGACTTTCCCATGCTGTTCTTGTAATAGTCTCACAAGATCTGATGGTTTTATAAATGGGAGTTCCCCTGAACAAGCTCTCTCTTGCCTGCTGTCATGTAAGACATGCTTTTGCTTCTCCTTTGCCTCCCACCATGATTGTGAGGCCTCCCCAGCCATGTGGAACTATGCGTCCATTAAACTTCTTTCCTTTATAAATTACCCAGTATTGGATATGTCTTTATTAGAAACATGACAACAGACTAATACAGCAGTTATCTCATGGCAGTTTATTAGGAATATCTTATTAGAATATGTTAAACATCTTCTCACACTATTAGTTCCTGTGAGGTCTGATTGTTAAAAAGAGCCTGGAACCTTCCTCCTCTTTCTCTTCCTTCATCTCTCGCCGTGTGGTATCTGCACATGCTGGCTCCCCTTCTTCTGCCACAAGTGGAAGCACCCTGAGGTCCTCATCAGATGCAGATGCTGGTGCCATCCTTCTTGTACAACCTGAAAATCATTAGCCAAATAAACTTTTCTTTATTAAAAAAGAATATATTGAACATCTAAACTGATGCAATGTAATAAAACATATTTAATTTAATCCTATCATCATTTTTTCTTTTCAGTGTGTTCTTTGGGGTTAGCCAATTCCTTACCTTGAATGAGCATTCAGGAAGTCTTCATAACCTCTCTGATAATGTTTAAGTAAAAAAAGAAAGGTATTCAATTAGTCCCATTCAATAGTCAAATTTCTATATTTTATTCAAAACTGAGGCCTCACACTCTTGCCTATTCAAGAGTGTTGCAGATGAGAAGCTCACAAACAGTGAAGGTGCAAAATTAGCTTCTTTTGTTTCTACAGCTTGTGCTTCTATTTCTTCTACTTGATATAGTTTCAGACCCCTGTGAGTTGAGGCATGAAGAGCAGAAGAGGACAGTTTTTACTTGCCTGATACTTCATGTGCTTGAATTGAATGCTCTAGGGAAAACAGATGCATAAGAAGACTCTATTGTGAACATTTTCATGAATTCTTTGAGAATCCACACTCCCGTAGTTCAGAGCCCGGTGAGGGCTACTGCATCTCCATTCTCATGGAATTCTCAGTCACTAGGCACTCTGGAATACTAGCAGCCTCTTTCTTCTATGATCTGTTTCTCTTGGAGGCTGCCTTGAGATACTAAGACAAGCAGACCCCAGACCTTTCCCTTACTTTTGGTCTATGTCGATTGCCAAGGAAAGATGAATCTCTTTCCTTCTGGAAGTCAGGCAAATCCTAGTGTAGCTACTTGTTCTTTTCTCTGCTTGAAAATGGTACGTGAGTGCTAGGAAGGCAAGAGTGTGGTCCCTTTAAATGATAGGGAAGCAGGGAGCAGAAGTGCTGGGTAGAGGAGGGTATGGTCCCTGGCTAGGGCTCCATCCCCACGGACCTAGGTGAGAACAGGCATTCCCTGTCCAAATGTTGCATTTCCCAAGACCACTCTGGCCTGCCATGCCCCATCCTGTGCCTATAAAAACCTGAGACCCTAGCAAGGCAGGGACAGAAGCTGCTGGACGTTGAGAGAGAGCACATCAGCAGAGGAACACACCCACTGGGGCTTCAGGAGCTGTAAACATTCACCCCCAGACACTGCTGTGGGATCAGAGCCTCACAGCCTGACCATCTGTATGCTCCCCCGGAGGTCTGAGCAGCGGGCACTGGAGAAGAGAGCCACATCGCACTCCCTGCAAGGGGAACAAGGGAATTTTTTCTGTTTCAAAAACATGTAGCTAAGTTGACTCTTGGACTTCAGCATTCTTCAGCATACCCCAGGTACCAATCTACTGAATTGTCCAAACTCTGGAATATGTATGTACATTAAACTCTCCAAGAGGTCTTTTCATAAGAAGGTTTTTAAAATTTGAAATTCATTATTCACTAAAAATATTTTTGGCTGGGCGTGGTGGCTCACACCTGTAATCCCAGCACTTTGGGAGGCTGAGGCCGGCAGATCACCTGAGGTCAGGAGTTCGAGACCAGCCTGGCCAACATGGTGAAACCCTGTCTCTACTAAAAATACAAAAATTAGCCAGGTGTTGTGGTGCATGCTTGTAATCCCAGCTACTTGGGAGGCTGAGGCAGGAGAATCACTTGAACCTGGGAGGCAGAGGTTGCAGTGAAATGAGATTGCACCACTGCACTCCAGCCTGGGCAGCAGAATGAGACTCTGTTTAAATATATATATACATATATACATATGTGTGTATATATATATTTGAGAAAACTGCTTTGTGCCAGAAAGTGTTGGAGGTACTAAAGATACAACAGAAATAAGGCAGAAAAAATTATTCCTGTCCTCATGGGACGTATATTTTAGTGGTGCAGGAACAGATCATAGACAACATTTTAAAAGGTACATTAGTTAGTGTATTAGTCATCTGTTGTCACAACAATGCTGCATTACAAACAACACAAATCACCAGTGGCAGATAACAATATGCTTATATGTCTGGGTCAGCTAGGTGGCACTGCTAACCTTGGCCAAGCTCACCTATGTATCCAAGGTGGACTCTTCTTCACATGCCTCTCATCCTCTTCTTAGGGCCGGTGGACTTGCCTAGAAATGTCCTTATGGCAATGCAGAAGCAAGCAAAATGTTAGCTCCAATACATACGCCAATTTCAAGGCCCAGAGTGTGTGACATTTGCTAATAACTCCTTGGCTGTAGAGGAACACATGGTTAGGCCTAATGTTGAGAGGCAATTCAAGTCACCCATCCATAATGGGAGAGCATAGTAAAGTTAGATTGCAAAGGGCGTGGATATAGGGAGGGATGATGAATTAGGATCATCATCATAATCTATTAGAGTCCACTTTTATTGCTACAATTTTTCATATTCTTCCAATATGAAAAATATGCTTACCCCTAATCTGGGATCACCAGAAGTCTCATGCAATCATGGCATCAGCCATCAAGTTCAAAATCTCACAATCAGGATGCAGGTCAGAATGCAGTTCTCCTTAATCCAGAAACATACTGATAGAGCTGGAGCCCTGTCATCTCGGACAAACACCGCCACTTTAAATTCCAGCTCCCTTTCTAGCCTCATGCATTTCAAGGAAATCACTTCTCTTCTAACTACAAATAGCCAGAAAGAGCAGACAGTAAAACACAGATAAGAGAGTTTGGGCACAGAGAAAGGTTGGGGGAAGGTCCCCTGGGTAACTGCCAAACTTCACCCTCATACAATGGGCCCTAAAACAGTGGGCCTTAATAAGCACATTCCTTTCCCTTCAGGTGCACTAAGATAGGGAAGCTAAAAGCAGACTCTGGGGATATGCCTGCAGCTGCAAAAAAGATGTATGGGAACAGACACACAACTCTCCCTCCTAGATAAGCACAACAAAGAGACACAGAAGCAGTCCAAGCCTTGGATAAACTCTCCCACTCTGAATCCTTAAAAAACTTAGTCTATAAGAGAGCGTGCCTCTGACCTAACTCGGCCAGAAGGCGCCTCTCAGGTTTGTTTTCTCTAAAATAAGTGTGCCGTGACTGGTGAGCCACCTTTTCATGTGTTTCTTTCCTCTTTCTTTCTCTTTCTTTCTTTTTCTTTCTTTCTTTCTTTCTTTTTCTTTCTTTTTTTTTTTTTTTGTTTGTTTTGAGATGGAGTCTCACTCTGTCGACTGAGTGCAGTGGCGCCACCTCGGCTCACCACAACCTCTGCCTTCTGGGTTCAAGTGATTCTCCTGCCTCAGCCTCCTGAATAGCTGGGATTACAGGCGTGTGCCACCATACCTGGCTTATTTTTTGTATTTTTAGTAGAGACACACGGTTTCACCGTGTTAGCCAGGATGGTCTCCATCTCCTGACCTCATGATCCACTCGCCTCAGCCTCCCAAAGTGCTGGAATTACAGGCCTGAGCCACTGCACCCGGCCTCCTCTTTCGTTAATTCTAAGACATACAAGCCACAACAATAGAAACAAAGTTGTCTTTCCATCAGCACTCAATACACAGTGCTGAAACTGGGTCAAGATAATGATAGTAAACATGCCCATTCAAAAACGGAAAGAATGGGGGACTGAACAGTCACTGATCCCTGGCAATTCTGAAATTCCACTGAACAAATGCTGCCTTGCACATCCCCTCTAGGGGTGGACAATATTCCTTGGTTAGCCCCTGACTCCTTTCCTTGGGAGTTTCTCATTAGTCTACCTGTCCTCAGAATTCTGTGCTCTTCCCTTTGAAAAGTACTTCCTTTTCTGTTTCCCTCCTTGGCC